>NC_000006.12:97040486-97192002 GCF_000001405.40 Homo sapiens
AGTCACCTGGAGGGCCTATTACAGCACAGATTGCTGGGCCCTGCTTGGAGTATCAGTTTCAGTAAATCTGCATTGGGGCCCTGAGAGTCTGTACTCAGACACGTTCCCAGGTGATCCTGATGTCGCTGGTCCAAGGGCTACACTTTGAGAACAACTGAAACGGAGTGTGTGATACATGGCTTTGTATCCCCACCCGAATCTCATCTTAAATTGTAATCCCCATAGTCCCTATAATCCCCACATGTCAAGGGAGAGACCAGATGGAGGGTAATTGGATCATGGGGGCGATTTCCCCCATGCTGTTCTCATGATAGTGAGTGAGTTCTCACAAGATCTGATGGTTTTATAAAGGGCTCTTCCCCTTCCCTCGGCACTTCTCCTTTCTGCTGCCTTGTGAAAAAGGTGCCTTGCTTCGCCTTCACCTTCGCCTTCGCCTTCCACCATTATTGTAAGTTTCCTGAGGCCTCCCCAGTCATTCTGAACTGTGAGTCAATTAAACCTCTTTCCTTTATAAGTCACCTAGTCTCAGGCAGTTCTTTATAGCATATGAAAATGAACTAATACAATGGCAGATGAGAGGAACTAGCTGTTTCATTGGACTGAGGCAGAAAAAAGCAGAGAAGTCAGAAGATGAAGGCTTTTCATGTCCTATTGGGCAGGATGTTTGGCATTGCTGCATATAACTTGGTAGCAATGAGAATCCAGGACCAAGAGAAAGCGTTCGGTGGGCCTAAATACTATCACCTCAAAATGAGACTGTGTATTACATATAGAAGTACTGTATATGGTGAGGAATGCCATCCTGTGTGTGTTGTTATTGCAACTGTTCAGACATCAAAATGATTTGCAGTGGTTTGTGTGAATGACACTTTCTAGAAGCATTTCAAAAATCAAAATCAATTATTAATTTGTAAAACTTTTTTTTCCCCTAGTCTCTCTAGAATTTTGTCTTGCTCCCTTGCTGTCAAAGTCTCATAACTGTCTTTCTCCCTTTCCTCACCTCAGGCAATGTTCAGTCTTTGTATGGTGGAAAGTGGAGCTGATGAGGTTAATTTGCACGGTGTGACCAGCCTTGGCTTAAAGCAGGCTCTGGAGTTTGCATACACAGGACAGGTATGGTATTAAATGTGATCTGTAAAGTTTAACATTTCAACTACATCTAACCAAAGGAGATTATCCTTGAGGTATGAGATTTAGTTATTGTTCTTGTTACTCATTTTGATGTTAAAAATAAGATTCACATCCTCTTAATTTTATGACTAAAGTTATGGAAAGGTAAGTAAAGCAATTTGATTTTTTAATATGATCCAGTGAACATAGTATTTTAAATTTAACTCAGTGCTTGCTGGTGTAATTTTTTGAATATCTTAAAGAACTATCGTAAGGGAAAGAGTTTGCAAGATAATGGATTCTCATTGTTATCACTGAAGCTCGGTGACTCAATCATGGCTTTATTGCCTTAAAAACAAGACAAAAAATTTAGATCCCCAAAAATTTATGTCCAACGTCTTGGTACCATGTCCTCCACATATCTCAGAGTCAGAATTGAAGGCATTTAGATTAGTAGATTGTGATGGTTTGAAATCCTAATACATTAATGACCAAAGTTGTTATAGGATTTATAGGACATCAGAGGATATCCATTTACATTTGAGAACTACTCAAATAAATCAATTCAAATACAGACTGGATGTTTAGCTCCCCTTTTATAAATTGTTGTTCTTTAACAACATTTCATCCAACGTGGATTTAGTATCTTCTATGCTAAAATGAAAGTGTCTTCTCTTGAGATGCTCACATCCTAGTAAGAGAAAGACAGGCAAATACATGATTAAAATCCTCACTGGTATTGGAGTTATAACAGAAGCAGAATACAAAACAGAGTGGGAGAAGGATGCATGTGGTCAGGTGTGGCTATCAGTACACAATTTTACAGATAGGGTGGTATTTGTGTCTTGAAGAATGTGTGGGAGCTCATTTTTCTACTGAATTTTATTTTTGTTTAATTTTATTCTTAATTAGCAAATAATAATTGTATATACTTATGTGATGTAAATGTGATGTTCTGATATATGTTTACAATGTGGAATGATTAAATCAGGCTAATTAACAAATTTATCACCTCACCTACCTACCTATTTTTTTTGTGGTGAAAACATTTAAAATGCACTCTTCTAGCAATGTTGAACTATACAATGCATTATTATTTATTATAGTTACCATTCTGTGAAGTAGATCACTACAGCTTATTCCTGCTGTCTAACTGAAACTATATACCCTTTGATCAACATCTCCCATTAGTCCATCCACCCCTGCTACAGTTTGGATGTTTGTCCTCTCCAAATCTCATGTTGAAATTTGATCCCCAGTGTTGGAGGTCGGGTCTGTAGGTGGATGTTGGGGTCATGTTGATTGATTCTTCGTGAAAAGGCTGATGCTCTCCCTCAGGGTGTGAGTGAGTTCTCACTGTTAATTCCTGAAAAAGCTATTTATTAAAAAGAGGCTGGCACCTCCTTCCCACTCTCGTGCTTCCTCTCTTACTATGTGATCTTGGCACATGCCAGCTCCGCTTCTCCTCTGCCATGAGTGGAAACAGCCTGAAACCCTCACCAGAAGCAGATGCTGGAGCTATGTTTCTTGTTTAGCCTGCAGAACCATAAGCCAAATAAACCTCTTTCTTATATAAGTTACCCAATGTCAGGTATTCCTTTATAACAACTCCAAATGGACTAAGAAAACACCCTCCCCTAGCCTTTGGTAACCATCATTCTACTTGCTACTTCTATGAGTTCAACTTTTTTAGATTCAGCATATAAGTGAGATCATGAAGTATTTGTCTTTCTGTGCCTTGCTTATTTCACTTAACATAATGTCCTCAAAGTTCATCCATGTCATTGCAAATGACAGGATTTATCTGCTTCTTAAAGCTAAATAGCAGTATGTTGTGTATACATACCATCTTTTCTTTATTCATCTGATGATGGACAACTAGGTTGCATTCATATCTTAGTTACTGCGAATAATGCTGCAGTGAACATGGGTAGGCAGATGTCTCTATAGCATACTAATTTCAGTTCCTTTGGCTATTACCCAGAAGTGGAATTGCTGGTTCATATGGTAATTTTATTTTTACTTTTTTGAAGAACCTCCATACTGTTTAACATAATGGGTGTATTAATTTATATTCCCACTAACAGTGCACAAAGGTTTTTCTCCACACCCTCATCAATACTTGTTATCGATTGTCTTTTTTTTATAGTAGGGGTGAGGCGATATCTCACCATAGTTTTAATTTGCATTTCCCTGATGACTAATGATGATGAATTTTTTTTCATATATCTGTTGGCCATCTGTATGTCTTCTTTTGAGAAGTGTCTATTAGGTCCTTTGCCAGCTTTTTGATTGGGTTATTTATTTTCTCATCTTCTTGTGATGGCTCTAGCTTTGTTCTTTTTGCACAAGATTGCTTTAACTATTCGAGTTCTCAGTTGTATTTTTTTTTTCTTGTCTAATTTCTCTGGCTAGAACTTCCAGTACTATGTTGAATAGAAGTGGTCAAAATGGGCATACTTGTCTTGTTTCTGATCTTAAAGGAGGAGCTTTCAACTTTTCACCACTAAGTATAATGTTAACTCTGGGCTTTTCAGATATGGCCTTTATTGTATTGATATACATTCTTTCTATGCCTAACTTGTTGAGAGTTTTTATCATGATAGGATGCTGAATTTTGTCAAATGCTTTTTCTGAATCTATTCAGATGATCGTATGGTTGTTATCTGTCATTCTGTTAATATGGTATATTGCATTTATTTATTAATATTTGCATATGTTGAATCATCATTGCATCCCAGGGATAAATCTCCCTTGATCATAGTGAATGATTCTTTTAATCATTCACTGTGCTGTTGAATGTAGTTTGCTAGTATTTTCTTGAGGAGTTTTGCAGCCATGTTCATCATGGATATTGGCCTGGAATTTTCTTTTCTTGTAGTGTCTTTGTCTGGCTTTGGTATCAGAATAATGCTAGTCTCATAAAATGAATTTGAAAGTATTCCTTCTTTAATTTTCTGAAAGAGTTTTAAGAGAGATTGATATTCTTTCTTCTTTAAATGTTTGGTAGAATTCTGCTGTGATGCTATAAGGTCCTAGATTTTTCTTTAATGGGAGATATTTTTTATTAATAGTATTGATATAATCTCCTTACTTGCTATTGGTCTGTTCAGATTTTTTATTACTTTTTTATTCAGTCTTGCTAGGTTGTATGTTTCTAGGACTTCATCCATTTCTTCTAGATTATCCAATTTTTTGGTGTATAATTATTCATAGTAGTCTCTTATGGTCCTTTGTATGTCTATGATATCTGTTGTAATATCTTCTCTTTCATTTCTGATTTTATTTATTTGAATCTTCTCGTTTTTTTTCTTAGTCTGGCTAAAGTTTTGTTGATTTTATCTTTTCAAATAATGAAGTTTCACTTTCATTAATCTTTTCTATTGTCTTTGTAGTCTCTATTTTTCACTAAGTTTTCTTTAGAGGCTTATTAAAACGTATGATATCATTTATTCTCTTTTCTGGAGTTAGTAGAATTTAAGATATGTGTCTTAGAATAATTGAGGCAACTCTGGCAGCTAGAAGAAAATAGTAAGTATAAAGGAAATAAGCCATTAATCAAGTAGAAAGTATAACAGGAGAAAGAAAGGTGATGGATCACAAATTCAAGATTAGCCCAGCCAAATTTCAAGACTTAGGAAATTAAGGCAGGCCATTATCATTCACAGAGTTGCCAAAATATATTCCTAGTGAAGTGAGTAAATCATGTATTTTGTGTTTTTTGGTTTACAGATGTGAAGAAAGATACCATCTCTAAATTCTGTCTTATTATTTCTCTTTTTATACTTGAATTACATGCAGTCACATCTGTATTTGCCCATCTCTAGAGTAAGATTGAAAACCCATAGCTCTTACTTCACAGGTGTGCCATGGGATGAAATAGTAATTTTTTTTTTGTAAAACTACCCAAGTAAATAATATCTGCACTCAGCTGCATTAGCAACTAAATGGTTTAAGCTTAGAGGCAATGGTCTGTAAAGCATGTTTGAAGTATTAGGAAACTCAAGAGCACAAATTCCTGGGAAGGCTGAGTTAAAATACACATGCAAATATATGTGGCTGCCTTATTGCTTGCTTGATTGCTTTGTGATTTCCTTCAGAATGGCTAAGTTGATGTGTATGTGCGTGTGTGTGTGCACGCATGTGTGCGTGTAATTCCTGTCACACAAAGGATCTATGAAATGTGAACTGAAGTGAAGATAGCAGAAAGGGAGCTGACTTTTTGAAGGTGAAGAAACCTACTTGGAAAGCAGGAAGATATTTGCAGAAGGGCAGCCATATCCCATTGCCCAGGAGTCATATGCCTTAGGTGCTTAAATTCTACTTTTATGAGAAAAAGAAAGCCAAATGAGATGAAAATATATCTGGTGTAAGTGCCTTTAAAAAGAAAGAAAGAAAAGCAAGTCCTAGGGCCAGATCTGGGGTTGCAATTATTCTGTCCAAACACCAGAGACTTATTCTGACTGTGCATCCACAGAGGCATATGACAGTCTGTGGCATACAGCAGTAATTCATCTGTTCAAATTGTGTGCTGAGAGGACAGGAAGGGGGCTGACATTTCCTGGAGCACCTTCTGAAAAAGCCAGGGGACAGCACTAGGCACTTTATGCGTGCTGTTTAAACTAATCTTTAAAACAGCTCTAAGGAATGCTGTGACCCCACTTGAAAGATGACAGGCCCAGGGAAATGCAGTGAATTGACTAAGATCATTCTCTCATATATTTTGGCCCAATTAGTCAAACCGAGTCCTACTAATTTCAAGTCTGTTGTTCGTTTTTTATTATAATCTGTCATTAAGAAAAGATTAAGTTATACTTTGTTATACTTTGTTGAAGGAGGCAGAAAAGTGTTTGGGCATTTACAGAGTCCACTATCTTGGTGGTTTTCTAAACTTGGAAACTGTGCCTTTTCAAGTCAGTCCATGAGGGCTTAGACTTGTTCTCCCTATGTGATCACTCTTTGCCACAGAGTAGAAGTTGATACCTCTACAGCCTTTCTTGAACAACATCCAAGAAAGTTTGGTTCTGAAACATCTTTAATTTGTAATAAATCTATTTTCCCTTTGAGACATGGACACAGCTGATGGCAAAAAGAATGAAGTTGCAGTTTACTTGAGATTGTTGAACAGCTGCTTTCTCTTACTATGGAGTCGACATTAACATTAAGCAAAAAGGTTGGAGCATAGGAATGTGAGTGAAAGCATAATTCTTCAGTTTCTTAACTGTTATTTAGTATTAGGGACATTCACTGACATGTAGTCTTTATCCGTGATATGTATATAGATTTGTAAAAATTCAGGGTTAACATCGAGTGTATCTGCCTATAGCTATTTCTAACAGTTGATTATATGTTTAGTCAGTTGTAATATGCATAGTATGAAATGTACGTATTTTAAGTGTCTGAAAATTGTTGCTGTCTTGGAGAGAAATTGGAAGTATAGAGTGGGAGTGATGAATGAATGCCTCTAAGTGTAACAAGATGTGTGCGTGTTCCTCCTACACATTGCTCTAAAGTGTAGCCTTCTTAAAATTGGCCTACAGATTTCATCCAGGAAATTTTAAAGAAAAAGCAAATTTTCCTCTTAATATTAATACATATTCTGAAAATGCATGCATTTCCTATCAAGTAGCAAACAGGGCTGCATAAGCATTCACTCTGCCTTTGCACTAATGAGAAATATGCCCTTCTTCTGGGCACACTGTGTTTGGGACACTGCTTGAATAGACCTTGGGATGCAGTGCAGTCTTCATGGGTGTCCTTGCACAGCCATGCATGGAGGCCATTATTACAGCAGAACCAATGGTGGAGGGCATAGAGGCCAGGCTGCTCTTGCTCTGCAGGGCTTGTTTTGGGAGCAAGGTTGGAAGCAAATGGTGACATAAACTGACTCTGGGCAGATCTGCCTTAGAGAGAAAAGGACAAAGTGAATCTAAGAAAATACAAACTCCAGTTACACTGGTGGGCAAGAGGGCCCATCCTGTTACTCTGGCCTCCCTTACTCTCCTCACTTTGAAACTGTGGCCAAGTTTTTTCATGTTTCAGACCAGTCCTGAGTAGAAGAGGTATGAGGAAGAAGGAAGAGAAATACTCTGATGGAAATGTTGCCTGGGAGATGGATCCCAGTCCAAACTAGACAAGAGGTCAGCCACCCAGGAGCAGGCAGGTGTTTTTAGAAAATCAAAAAGCAAAAACCAAAAAACCCAGCCTGACAGTGAAGAGCAGAAAACATCAAGACCCTTTTATAAAAAGAAGAGCCCTGCTTGGAAAGTAGAACTTCCAGCACCAAAGGCCTTGGGATAAGCCTTTAGAAATTTGAGTACCTTAGGACCGAAATGGAAGCAAATAGGACTGCGAACCACAATAAAGTTTATTGTTTAACACTCTGGCTATGATGATGTCAAGGAATATACACTATATGCCAAGCACTGTGATAAATACCTTACATGTAGTGGAGGAAGGGTTGAAACCTAGTTAGCTTCCTCTTAATTTCCGGAGAGCTCTCCTCCTTTTCTGTCCCTTGGAGACTGATGAAGAGGTTCCAGAAACCCAGTGGAGAGATAAACTCTGCACCAAATGATAGTGACGTTTATAGTCCCCTTTACAATTCTCCACTTCCAGGCACTGCTAACTCTGTCAGCTGTGAACCAATTATGTCATATCCGGGCTTCTGAAGAAGGATGCCTTGGGATCTGTGTTCCCTTGCATTTCTCTTTATTATTCAGTAACTCCAGCCCTTGGCTTCTGAAAATCATAGAAGAACCCATCTCTTGGGGGATAGTCACCCTAAATACATTTCTCTGACCCAGAGAATGCTTCAATACGATCTTTACAAGGAAATATTGTATCACCATTACTGTTCTTATTTTGAAGCCTTTTGGCAATCAAGAAAACTATCATACTCTGTTAAGGGAAAAATTACTTTAAAAATATTCATTCAGTCAGAGGTCTCACCATAGTAACTTTGTTTTTTTGATTGTCATTTGGTTCCCTAATAAGTTCACATGACTTTTTTTATATAGCCCTGATAATGCAAACACTGTGCATTACATTTTGATGATCATTGAAACTGTATTCCCCACAGCAGAATACTTTTCTCGGGAGACCTGAGCATCAGGCCAGGCAGCAGAGTGACAGGAATCTTAATTGGATCTGCTTTCTCATGGACCATCCCTTCAGGGGTAGAAGTATCCATTTATATGGAGAAAGTCTCTGTCGGATTTACTTATAAATATAACCCAATTGAGCTAAATAGTAGCACATGGAGCAAACATGGGAGAAAATTTTTAAAATGTTTCTCTCAGGAGTAGTGTTAAGACTATTCAGTGGTTTAAATATTTTAGCTTCCCAATCCTTTCTTTAGCTGGCAGTACCTACCTGGCAAGTAAAAGGCCCTGAGGCACCTCCACTGTGCCTTGCACTCTGGAGGGTACACAGTGAAATCCACATTTTAAGGAAGAATATAGCATCCCTTCCTTACCTGCTGGGGCTATATTCCAAGACCCCAGTGGATGCCTGAAACCTCAGATAAGTACCAAACCCTATATATACTATGTTTTTTTCCTATCCATACACACCTGTCATAAAATTTAGTTTATAAATTAGGCACAATAAGATTAACAACAATTACTAACAATAAAGTAGAACAATTATAACAATACACCAGCATCACTTCTCTTGTACCTTGGGGCCATTATTAAGTAAAATAAACACAAGCACTGAGATACTGCCACAGTGGTCTGATAACCCAGAGGGCTACTAGGTTACTAACAGGCAGAGAGCATCTACAATGAGGATATGCTGAACAAAGGAATGATTCATGTCTTGGTAGGACAGAGTGGGATGGTGGGAGATTGCATCATGCCACTCAGAATGGTGCATAATTTAAAACTCATGAATCGTTTATTTCTAGAATTTTCTATTTAATGTTTTTGGACTGCAGTTTACCATGGGTAACTGAAACCGTAGAAAGCGAAACCGTCGATAACGGGGGGCGGGGGGGAACTACTTTATTTTGAATTTTGCAGAAAGTGACATTTCTCCTTACCTTCTTGTCAGAGCTATGCCAGAGTCCATAACTGGAGTGTTGACATGGAAAGTTTGAGAAGTGTGAAACAAAAGAGGAAGTTTGAATTTCATCAGTTACTTTTTTGCTTTTTTAGATCTTTTGAAACTAGTTATTTGCCTTGGGGTAGATTTTCTCTTTTATCAGTGCATTATTGAAACAAACAAGCAGATTAGTCTGCTTCCTGTTTGACAGTGAAGTCATAAAATATGAACAGCTTTGTTGGTCCCAAGACCTGTCTCTTTCTCACAGAGAACAGCTGATTCACAGTCAGGTCATGTAGGAGGGCCTCCCACCTGTAGGGCAGGGCCAATTCTAAGTGACAGTCTTTGCTTCACGCCAGTCTGTTCTCCTTTATTAAATTTCTCTGTGCTATCCAGTCAGAATGTGCTCAGAGTCTAGTTTGTGCTGCAAGAATCATAAAGCCATTCGTTCAGCAGATTCATGTCTAAAATGTCTCTGTGCAAAGAAGTTTAACTGTGGCCACCCTTCTAAGATCAGCTTTCCAATTCAGTATGTTTTGATTTTTGAAAAATGTATTCCTGTTTTCCCAAATAATTTATAAATTTATGTCTTCATTTTCTTGCTGTCACTTGGCAGAAATAGAATGCGCAACCCCCCAACCCAAAATCTGATTTGGATGTTGAGACTGATAATGCCACACACCCCAACAGGATGTGAAAAGGTTTATTCCTCACATAATGAGGCTTTCTGGAGAGAGCAGGGTGACTCCTAAGCAGGTGCAAAAATGGCTTGAGAGAGCATGGAGGTATGGCTGGCTTTGGCTTTTATTGTGGGGCAGGGGCAAGGGCTACCCGCAGGTAGGGCTTGTGTATTTTGGAGAGAGTTTTCAGGCTTTTTTAAACCTTTGCTCAGATGTAAGGCAAGCAGGAAAATAGGGAAAGGTGGGGCTTGAAAGCCATCCGGAGTGAAATAACAAAAATAGGGGCAGACTCTATTACATTAATCTAGCATTCTACTTGAGTAATAGTCACATTTCAGGCACAGACATTTTCCTTTGGAATATTATTAAACTCAGTCACCTAATGAAAACACAATGTGGGCTGGACGCAGTGGCTCATGCCTGTAATCCCAGCACTTTGGGAGGCCGAGGTGGGCAGATCACCTGTGGTCAGGAGTTTGAGACCAGCCTGGCCAACATGGCAAAACCCCATCTCTACTAAAAATAAAAAAAATAGCCAGGTGTGGCGGTGGACATCTGTAATCCCAGCTACTCAGGAGGCTGAGGCAGGAGAACCGCTTGAACTCGGGAAGTGGAGGCTGCAGTGAGCCGAGATCATGCCACTGCACTCCAGCCTGGGCAACAAGAGCAAAACTCCATCTCAAACAAACAAACAAACAAACAAAAAACACATGTGTTTGAACAATATTCTTACAGCATTTATAATCTTTTCTGGCACCAATTCTGTGCTGAGGAACCCACTGTGGGCTAAGGTGCCTGAGGTCGTATGTACAGATCATGCACACTGATAACACTGTGAGGGTCTCCAGATATCTTAGATAATATAGATGACAAGGATGAGTGTGGCCCCTTCTGTGTTTTAACCATATCTCCCTTGTGTAAAAATCCATTCAAATGAGCTGGATTTGTTGTTCTTTCCTCCATTCTCCTTCCAACTCTCAGCACCTCCCACCCTACCCCATTGCCAGTATTGGGAATAGAAAAAGAAATATTTCCTTTTTGCTCTTGATAATGGTTTTATTGTCATAGGTGGGGCAATAAACAGTCTTTCTCTGACATTCTCCAAAGTAGAAATGGCGAGTATCCAGTAACTCCAAACAGTAGATCAACCCTCCTAGTTAACTCAGTGGGTTTTGCACTTCTGTGCACCTGTTTCTTCTGAATGTTTCAACAGAAAGTTCCATTGCTACATATTTCATAATCCATGGTGTGCATCTGAGATTTTTACTTTGCCATGGTGGGTAAACAGCACAGAAATCATTACAACTTTGTTCCTTCTTGATCATGTGAATTTCTGAGTGTTGACTGCACTCAGAATCATTTCCTAAAGAAATTTCGATCCTTCCTTTAGGTGCTCCCTCAAATCATCTTAGTGGAGGGAAGTTAATCATTTATATAGTGGGGAGTCTTGGTTAGTTCCTTAAATTTCATAAGAAGATATCAGCCTATTGATGGATTTTTAAAGCACATGAACTTTTTCTCTTATTGAGAAAAAAAGAACAATTGTGCTCCAGCCTTATCCTGTTTTCTGGACAACTCTTACTAGAAGTTCATTTAGGAGAAATTTTACACATAAAGGATCCCCAGAAGATATGCAGTCTATTCATCTGGCTTGGTGGTTCTCAACCTCAACTGTCAGTCCTTAATATAAAAAGGCCACCTTTACTATCCTAAAATGAAATTCCTAGACAATATAACATACTTACACAAATTACTCTAAGCACCAATAGAATTTCCTAACCATATGTAAAAGAACAAACGAAAGAAGTTTGTGTTTAAAATCCTTTATATTTCAGTGTGTACATGCTGGGGTACAACCCTTCCAAAAGACATAATGAAGTAGTCTCCTGTCTGCCCCCATAGGGAGAATCACCATGATTGGGACAGCAGATGCACATGCAGATGCAGACTGGTGAATGAATGTTGTACTGTCAACTCAGATACCACAAGGACAGATCCCAGGTGGCATGTGACATGATTTTCCAAAATAATGAACAACTCTTGGTATTATACAATTCTAAACAAAACAAAGTAACAGTCTTCTCTTTGTTTTTATGGGCGTAGCATTCCTGGAAAAGCCAATGTATTCTGACACAGAACATCAAAGAATGTGTTTATATGTAAAACAGAGTTAGGTTCGGGGCTTCAATCTGTGTAAACAAATGTTTCACTTCTTTGCACACCCAGCAGGGCATTCCGGCGTGCAGGCTGTAGGTCAGTCCTCATGGTTGGTGACCGCCCTGTGTGTTGCCTGGCATCTAGCCTCCCAGCCACTGCCCAATAAAGGCCAATATTGCCCACCCTCCTGGGAGGACCAGAAATATCCCCGCAAATTTCCGAATTTCCCTGAGAAGGTAGTATTGACTCGATTGAGAAGGACTTCTTAAATATTTTAAATTTTATACCTAGATCAAGCCAGAAAACCAGAAAACTGGATGTCTGGGTCTTAAATAATCTCTTTATTAACCTTCACTTTTTATGCAATGTTCTATAATATAAACTTCTGATGGTATTATTAGAAGTATTATCAAGCAAATCATTCAATAACCCTCTTAATGTCTGCTGGGAAATTTCCATTACATCTCAGGGTCTGGAGAATCTAGAAATCTCCTTAGTATTTTCACCTTTTAATCTTGCATTAGGTTACATTTCTTTTTCAGTTTTGATGCTAGGAAGCATAGAGCCACATTGTGACCCACTTATAATAGTTATGAGGATGGATACACACACACACACACACACGCACACACATTCTCTCCTGACCTCATATTGTTTCCTCTTTTCTCTTGCTTTGAGTTATTTTTATTCTTAATATTTAAATGCTTGTATTGATGCCTCAGATCCTTTTTGAAATGAGGCAGAGAAGATAATAAGTAACTAGACTGAATAAAAAGATTTGAGACCTCTTTCTGAACATTTTTGGAATCCCAGAGGGATCTTAATGTTAGTTGTAGGCATGAATGCTACAGCCCATTAGCTCTGCCTATGAAAATGAAGTGCCTCCAAATTCCCAGCTTGCTCCATAAATAAATCATTCCACACATTTCCCAAATTTTTTTCCTCCTTGTTTCAGCACTAAATATAAGGATACTGCAAATTCTATAAAAAGAAATTACTTTATCTTTGAAAATGAAAAAACACAACCCAAATTTTTATAAAATTATTAATAAGACTAAAAGTAAAAAAATATTTTCACTTCAAATTCTCACTTACTTACATGTTATATGTTATCTTTCTGCTTTCTTCGGATGCCCATTTTCTTCAGATGCCCATATGTCTATGTGATTTTATAAAGATTTTGTGATTGTAATTTACTTCAACTTCTTTTCTGGAATTAGGTAAGATATAAGTACATTTGTTTTTTTTAATTTATATACTATGCATTTATATGCATAGTATATAATAAATGTATTAAATAAATTTATTGTGTACTATGCCTTTTATTTATATACTATGCATTTTTATTTATATACTATGCATTCATACATAGATATTTTGTAGTCTGTGCATATACTACACATACACTACAAAATACATAGACTACACATAATGTATGCATAGACTACAAAACATCTTATTTTCTTTCTTTTCTTTCACTTTTCCTTAAATATTCATAATAAGGAATTCTTTTTTCCTTAAAATAGAATTCTTGAGCCCTCTGCTGGAAGTATTCAGTATTTGTATGAAGCAGCAGTATATGGGAGTTTTACAATTCTAACTTAAGTTTTTTAAAAAGAAAGCAACATGATAGCAAAAATATATGGTCAAATTGTAATTAATATCAGGATAAATAATTTGCTAAACAGTACTTTTAAGATGATTTATATTGGAAGTTATATTCCATTTGAGTAAAATAATGATGAGAACATTCAAATGAAGGCATAATTTGAATGTATTGAATACTCTAAGTTAACTTGTGAATATTTTATTTTTGTATACTTCATAAAAACCATCCATTTACATTTTATTCTCAAATTTAGATTCATTAATTCAGCAAATACTTAATGAACACCTACTATATGCTAAGGACTTACTAGTTGTTAGGGATGCACTGATGAGAAAATGTACATTGGTGCTTTCTCACAGTAGGTCAAACTGTGATTGGAAATGCCAGATCAACACACCATTGCATTTTTAAGAAATGGATTAGCAGGGATCTGAATTATTTGCATATATAACATAGAAAAATACCTGAGTATGTTTGATGCTTCAAAAGTTGCACTAATTCAGGTAGGAGAATGGATAATTGAGTTGTAGTTCTTTGTCAAGGACTGCCTGAAAAATAAGACAGTAATTTGCATTATACTTTGCAGGAAGAAAATAATAGGCATTTATTCTATAGTAATTGAATAGACAGATATAGCACCTTAAAAACTAATGATAGCCATTCATCTCTATGTATCATGTATCTGTCAAAGTAGGAACAACTTGGCACAGCCCAAAGAATACAGCCTGTACTCCCGGCTATTCGGGAGGTTGAGGTGGAAGAATTGCTTGAACCCGGGAGGCAGAGGATGCATTGGGCTGATATCGTGCCACTGCGCCCCAGCCTGGGCAACAGAGTGAGATCCTGTCTAAAAAAAATATAAGAGAGGATAAAAATTGATTCCAGCTTGTGGCATCTTTGGAGAATTATTTGTTGAATCCAACTGTAAGAATCAATTCTGCTGGTTGGCACTGGAGAAAGTCACTGTTTTCACTTCAAATCCATGACCCCAAATCTCAGACAGATACCCAATGCCAGGCAATGTTAATCTGTTTCCCTAGTAAATTTGCTTTCCTCCTCTTCTTGATGAGTTTCTCACCCTCTCTCTTCTCTTTTTAGAGACATTCCCCTCACTAACCTACCTCCAGTACACATATCATAAGGAAAAGTCACCGTCCATTGAGAAAATAGAAACAGAAAGGAAGATCTTCATCATCTTACCATCAAATTCTCAACCCTCCCTGTTTCTGAACTTATTCTGGGTATATCCCTCTTTTACAGTGGGAGGGGTATCCCTGAACTGTCAGAGACTAATCTCCCCCACGTAGGGTCCAGATCCACTCCCTCCGACTCTGTCCAATATCACTCCTGTTATCCTGCTGCTGTCTCTTCTGCCATCAGTTTCTCCTCTACTGCATTCTATTGCTCACCTTTAAGAATCCTTTTCTTGCCAGGTGTGGTGGCTCATGCCTGTAATCCCAGCACTTTGGGAGGCCAACGCAGGTGGGTTACTTGAGGCCAGGAATTCAAGACCATCCTGGCCAACATGGTGAAACTCTGTCTCTACTAAAAATACAAAAATTAACCAGGTGTGGTGACATGTGCCTGTACTCCCAGCTAGTTGAGAGGTTGACGTGAAAGAATTGCTTGAACCTGGGAGGTGGAGGTTGCAGTGGGCCGATATCGTGCCCCTGCACCCCAGCCGAGGTAACAGACTGAGAACCTGTCTAAAAAAAAAAAAAAAAAAAAAAAAAACCCCTTCTTATTTCTATATTCCTCTTGAGCTACCACTTATTTCTCTGACTCTTCTCACAGCAGAGCTTATGAAAAGTGTTACATAAAGTTATTTTTCCTCACTTTCACTCATTTATCACTCACTTTTCCACTCCAAGTCTGGAGGCTTTTATCTTCATCATTCCACTAAAACTGTTCTTGGCAGTCACAAATATTGCCAAATCTAATTAAATACTGTCATATGTGACCTCACAGCTTCGTGCAGCATAGCCAGCCTCCCTTTTCTTTTTTTTTCTTTTTTTTTCTTTTTTTTTTTTTTTTTGAGATGAAGTCTCGCTCTGTCACCCAGGCTGGAGTGCAGTGGCACGATCTCGGCTCACTGGAAGCTCCGCTTCCCGGGTTCACGCCATTCTCCTGCCTCAGCCTCCCTAGTAGCTGGGACTACAGGCGCCCGCCACCACGCCCGGCTAATTTTTTGTATTTTTAGTAGAGTCGGGGTTTCACCATGTTAGCCAGGATGGTCTTGATCTCCTGACCTCGTGATCCTCCCGCCTTGGCCTCCCAAAGTGCTGGGATTACAAACGTGAGCCACCAGGCCCGGCCCACCAGCCTGCCTATTCTCTCTTGGCCTTTGTAACACTGCTCACTGTGGGCTTTTATTCTGTGCCACCACCAGCCTTCCCGTCACTCCTTTCCAGGTGGCTTTGCTTGCTCCTCCCCACTCTGTAGGCTTCAAATCCTTCCTGCTTCAGAACCCTCCTGTTTAATCCAACTAGCTTCCTTGGTGATGTCATCCAGACCCAAGTTATTTGGTATTGACAAATAACTTGCTATTATCTTATGCTATTGACTCCCAGCCCCTACCTATACTCTAGACCAAGGATCAGCAAACTTTTTTTGTGAGGAGCCAAAAATAATTCAGTAAATAATTCAGGCCATATAAAGTTTCTGTCACAGCTGGGTGCAGTGGGTCACGACCATAGTCTCAGCACTTTGGGAGGCCAAAGCAGAAAGATCGTTTGAGCCCCGGAGCTCGACACCAGGCTGGGCAACATAGCAAGACCCTGTCTCTATTTTAAAAAGTAAATAAAGTTTATTTCGCAACTACTCAACTTAGCTGTTGTAGCATGAAAACTGCCAGAGACAAATATGTAAATGAATAAGCATAGCTATGTTATAATAAAACTCTATTTATACTTAAATTTGAATTTCATATAATTTTCATGTATCACAACATATTATTCATCTTTTGGGTTTGGGGGACTGTTTTAAAAAGTTAAAACTATTTTTAGAAATTAATACCCCAAAAATTAAACAGGCGTAAATCTAACAAAATATGTACAAAAAATGCAGTTTTCCTATGTGAGTATCTTTTTTTTTTTTTTTTTTTTTTTTTTTTTGAGACGGAGTTTCGCTCTGTCGCCCAGGCTGGAGTGCAGTGGCGCGATCTCGACTCACTGCAAGCTCCGCCTCCCGGGTTCACGCCATTCTCCTGCCTCAGCCTCCTGTGTAGCTGGGACTACAGGCACGCGCCACCATGCCCGGCTAATTTTTGTATTTTTAGTAGAGACGGGGTTTCACTGTGTTAGCCAGGATGGTCTCGATCTCCTGACCTCGTGATCCGCCCGTCTCGGCCTCCCAAAGTGCTGGGATTACAGGCGTGAGCCACCGCGCCCGGCCGAGTATCTTTTTATATGCTTATTTGCCACCTGTCTTCTTTGGTGAGGTATCCGCTCAGATCTTTTACACCCCCCTCCCGCCCCCATTTCAAAAAATCAGATGGTTCATTTTTTTCATTGTTGAGTGTTAAGATCTTGTTTTTTGATATTTTGGATAACATTCCTTTAGCAGATGTATCTGTTGCAAATATTTTCTCTTAGCCTATGGCTTGTCTTCTCAATTTCCTAATAGTGTATTTTGTGGAGCAGAAGTTTTTAATTTTAAAAAAGTCCAAGTTGTCAATTATGTCTTTCATGGACCATGTTTTTGGTGCTGTATCTAAAGAGTCATTGTCATACCCAAAGTTATCTAGATCTTCTCCTATGTTACCTTGTAAGAGTTTTCTAGTTTTGCATTTTACATCTACATCTGTAATCCGTTTTGAGTTTATTTTTGTGAAGGATTTGAGAGCTGTGTCCAGGTTCAATTTTTGTATGTGAGTGTCCAATTAATCTAGCCCCATTCTTGAAAAGACTATCTTTTATCCATTATTATTATATTATCTATAATATTATCTATGCTCTTTCATTGACCATATTTATGTGAGTCTGTTTCTGAGCTCTCTGTTCTGTTCCATTGATCTGTTTCTCTCTTCTTTTGCCAATGTCACACTGTCTTGATAACTGTAGTTTTTTTTAGTCTTGAAGCGGGTATTGTCAGTCCTCCAACTTTGTTCTCCTTCAACATCGTGTTGGCTATTTTGGGTCTTTTGCTTCTTCATATAAGCTTTAGAATCTGTTTGTTAATACACAAAAAATAACTGTGGGATTTTGAATAAGATTACATTGAATCTATAAATTGAGTTGGGAAGAACTGACATCTTGACAATATGGAGTCCTTTTTATCCACAGACATGGGCCATCTTTCCATTTATTTAGTTTTTCTTTGATTTCTCTCATCAGAGTTTTGTAGTTTTCCTCATATATATATGTGCTAAGTCCCATGGCTAATGCCCTGATTGCCTACCAATATTCATTTCCTCTTTTTTCTTTATATAGAACTCTAATTTGATTTGGGACTATGGTGCATCTAGCCATAAAAATTTAATTTCCCAGGCTCTTTTACAGCTATGTGTAGCCACCCAGCCAATGAGATGTAAATGGAAGTCTCTGTAACAGTGTTTGTAAGAAATCTATTGTTTTTCTGATAAACAATGCCAGACTCAGCTGGCAAATGTTTTTTGTTCTTTGACCTCTCCTTTCTTTCTGCTTTGAATGTAGACATAATGCCTGGTGGTATGGCAGCCAATTTGAGACCATGAAACCACAGCCTGAGATTTGCCAAGCAGGAAAATACAAGGAGGCTGGTTGCCACTCTAAGTGGCCTAATCCAAATGTTATTGGAAAAGTAACCCTTATATTTGTTTAAGCTGCTTTGTTACATATAGACACACACAATTGTAATGATACACAAGCATTCTTTTGGTCCTTAAAACAGTTTTTGAGGTAGACATCATTATTTTCACTGTACAAATAAGAACACTGAGGCACCTGGAGTTGAGCTGTTCTCCCAAGTTGATTCTGTCAGCAAGTGTAGGAGCCAGGATTTGAAAGCAGACAGCGTGACCTAGAACACATGGGCTTATTAGTTCACCAGATGTCTGTGGAGACCCAGGATGAGGTAGGGGTGGGGAGAGATCTTGCCAAGCTTTGTATAAGGAGTGGATTTAGAGTTGGATCTTGAAATGAGTAGGATTTTGACATATGGAAATTAAAGGAATGAGGAGGACATTGAAGATGGAGAACAAGGTATTGCCTGAGTGTGGAGACTAGTAGATTACTGGCTTTAGCAAAGGGACCAGAAGGTCATAAAACTGGAGAAAAGTTTTTAACAGCAGGTTGGGGCTACATGGTGAGGTTTTCCAAATACAAGCCTCAAAAGTTTGAATTCTCTGATTCATAGAGAACTACTGAATTCTAGCCAGTATTGCTCAGATGGAGCACTTCAACAGGCATATTTATGAACATTTCCCAATATGATCACAACATTTAGAAACTGGAATTCATGTGTTTTATTATCCTTACCTGAACTATGTTTTTCTTTCTTAAAAATAAACTTCAGATGTCAGATATAGATGTGCAGTGCATGAGTCAATTTAGAAAATTCTTTTCCTTTAAATGGCTGCCACCTTGTGGATAAAAAGTCCTTAGTGCAGTGGTTTTGAAACTAAAACTAGATTGGTAGAAATTTCTCATAGCTAGATAGATCTTGTGTTTCATGTTCCATCTGTGAGAATTCTGTCATAAATAACTTTATGCAAAACATTTTATGTGTGTTGAATATATGATCATTTAACAGCTATTTATGCTGTTGTATCCAGTTCATTTGATGATTATAAATTCAAGATTCTGATAATTTGCCATTCTGTAATACTATACAGGAAAAAAAAAATACCAAAGAAACAAACTATAAAGAAGGGAGGAAATGTAATCATTTATTCTCATAAATGGTATTAGACCACTCTAATTTGCAGTTGTACAAGCGCTTGTTTTGCTTGCAAAAGCGTGTTGTTCATGTGCACACATGGTATGTGTGTTTACTAAAGACCTTAGTTGTCTGATTTTAACATGCTCAAATCCTTCAGTCCACTGTACACATAGACCAAGAAGCAGGTAATTAAAAAATCTCCTTATGCAAGAAATGAAGAAGATAGCTTTGAAGATCTGAAGATACAAAATTTTCTGAAGATGCCAACTCACTTGATCACAGGCAGGAGAAAAAAAAAGGTCACACTGAGACTTACCATGGCTGTTAAAGACAGTCCCTACCAGCCACCAATCCAAGAGGCTAGGTATAAGGGAGAGGGAAAATAAAGAGAAAAAGAAGACAGAATTGAGAGAGTGGACATCTGATGATCCAGGAGGATGAGCTGAAGAAGGAGGGGCAGGGATGCCCTGGGGACTGTGGGGTGTCCCTACTCCCACCGCTCAGTCCCAGCTCCACCCTCCCAGAGCCCCCATGTGAGGTGTGGGCACTGACTGAGGTGGCCCACGTCATCATGCTCTATACAGAATCTCACCTCAGGTCCCATTCTCCTCCTCTTTCACCGGATTCTGGCCCCATATTCTGCCTGGAGACCAGGAGTCCCAGTCTTATTGCAGTTTAGAGGGTCTTCATTGGAGATCATGCAAATTCTCCTGTCTGCTACCAACCCTGCTTGGATTGGTGACCAGAGGACATGTTGGCACACAGTATTCAAGAGTGCCTCCTACCAGGAGGGTGATTGGGCCACCTCATGACTGAATTCTGACATAATTTCTCCTACCAGGTACCCATCCCCTTCTCCTGCACTTGTGGGTTTTACACTATTACTTTGTCACACCATTCTGTGTCACCCTAAATACAGCCACTGGTCGGTTCTTATCCCCACCAAAATGAGTGTAGAGTTTCAGCATTTGGAATGGGAATCAGTCGTGGCCCTCTCCTTATTCATATGACCTTGCCTGCTACAAATTGCAGGAGATGTTCCTGGGCCAGACCCAAGTAATGAGATGTGATCATCTCATTACTTGGTGAGGTGAGACTAGAGGTGACCTCTCTGCTAGCACTGTCCAACATCCCTCATTCGAGAACAGCCCCTTGTGTTCCACCACCTGGAGGTCAGGCGGGGAAAGAATCCTCTATACAGGTGGTTCTGTGAACAAGAAACATTCATGCCCCCACCTAAGTTTGCTCCTGGTTGCATCAAAACCTGTTTGCAAATCTGGAGAAGCCCCAGCTCTACAGGTGAGCTCCACCCAAGCAGGTGAGCGTCACTGGGGGTAGAGGCAATGCCCAACCTAGTTTGGCTTCTTTTAGGGTTTCCTTTCCCCCCACTTCCCCCAGCCCGCCCCATCCCGCCCCTGGATTCTGGACCACTTGGCTTTATGTATCTAGCATTTTCTTGATCTCTTGTTATTAAGACATTTTGTCTTGTCCACTGTTTATGCCTCTAGCTGTGATATGCTCCTCCAGACTGATGAGTGACTGGATGTGTCAGGCCACTCACATTAGCTCCTATTCCCACCCTGTGTGCTTTCAGATCTTGGGGAACATCTCTTCCTTCCTGCAGGTGGTCCTTGAGTCACCCTTCTTCCTATCTGTCCTGGTTTGAGTGTCAGACTACATGTTGATGGGTATGTTTCTGAAATACCTAAATATAATGCTTGGCAGAAGTTAAATGCAGCTGTCTTAGTTGTTCTCCATAAACCTGTGTGTTTGAGATCCCTTTTTTTCTGCAGAGGTTGTTCTTTTGGCCAGTCCTTCGAGGCAGGTGACAGATAAATTCACCACACTGTAAATCATGAGGAGACTTGACCTTTGATTTCATTGCTGGCCAAACACAAATTCCCTGGAAAAATATATTCGAACAGTCAGTCACCAAAGAGCAACAAAGCTGAATCAAAAGCCTCTGGTACAGTGAGGTTTGCAAACACTGGTTCTGTTTCCATAAGTGAGAACAGCTGTCCTGGTAGGGTTTCTTTCTCCAACCCTTTAAGAGCACTTAGAGATTTTCTGTGCTAAAGCATATTTTAGAAAAACTTATGTTATAATGAGTGGAAGGAAAAAACTACAAAACAAAAAATAAAAAAAGACAAAAACAATCGCCGTATGGGTTTTTCATGTGCAGGCTTCTGGAAGTCAGCCTGCTGGACATGTAACACATGCTATGGAATATTCATCTTGTCTCTCTGTGATCACTGTCTTTGTGTTTGCTATTAGTGAGCCTTGGAGGTTATCATAAATACCAGTTGTGTGAAATGAGCGCAACTGACAGGATTTAAAGGCTAAACCAACCTTTCTAATCCATCTATTCCCCATTCTCCTCCTTAGGCCATGCCTCTTCTGCAAGACTATACAACATCCTTGCTCCTCTGATGGGAGCTGCACTAATTTCGTGAATGTCAGTCAAAGCCTCCTTCCTTGAGGAGTTGGCGAAAGACGGGTTTCTCTTTCTGACTAGATGGAAAAGGAGATATAAAGATTTTTCAGAATAAGATGAGTGTTGGTATTTTTGCCACATGTGCTTAACTTTTTCACTTCTTTACTTTGCCACTTAGAAATATAGAGTCCTTTTTTCTTTCTTATAAAATTAGTTAAAATTGATTCTGAATAAAAAACATGTGTAGAGATCAATTAATTCATTAGCATTTTAATTAAGTAACTTCATGAATATTGAGCAACAGCTATGTGTGCTGAACATTGTTCTAAGTGCTGGGGATACAAAATAGACTAAGTCCCTGCTCTCCTGAAACTTATACTGAGCAGAGAAAAATTAGCAAATAGGCAAAAAGATATATAATGTGAGGTGGTAAGCACTATGGTGAAGAATAAAACAAAGTTAGGAGCTAGGGAATGATGGCTGTTCAGGGGTGGGTTACTGTTCTACATAGGATGGTCAGGGAAGGTATCTCAGGTAAGACGTTATCTGAAGTATATGAGGGAGTGGCCCAGGCAGAGCAAACAACTAGTTGTAAACACCAAGGTGCTCAGCATATTCAATAACTTTTTAGGTTATAGTGGAGACTTTTTGGATTTTATTTTCATGGAGATGGAAAGTCTTCAGAAAGTTCTGAATAAAAACAGTGACATGATTTCATTTGTGGTTTTAAAGAACCAGTCTGGTTGATATTATTAAAACAGATAGTGTGAGTGGACAAAGGAGAAAGCAGTGCAACTAGCTAGGAGGTGATTACAGTTAAGTTTAGGAAGAGGAATGGACTGGACTAAAGCAGTGATTATCGAAGTCATGAGCAGTGATTGAATTCCGAAACTATTTTGAAGATAGAACCAGCAGGACTGGCTGATGGATTCGATATAAGGCCTAAGGAAAACAAGAGTCAAGAATGACCCTGAGGTTTTCAAACCTACCATCCAGTAGAAAGAGAACCTATAGTGATGCAGGAACAAGAGGGGAGAATTGCAGGCAGAAGGGGTTGGGATCAAGCACACAAGTGGACTGTTGGGGAGAGCAAAAGGTACTGATACAGATGTAGGTAGATAGGTTGGTAGATTTGGTGGTAAGAGGTTTTCAAAGATCATGAAGTGAAAATCCAGTGGCAGAGAAGGAGTTGGAGGCTTGAGAAAGGAGCGTGCTGAAGTAGTAGAGTGGAGGGGTGAATTGACTAGTGCCTCCCTGTGCATCAGAGCCACTCAGGACACTTGTTAAAAACACTAGTTGCCTCACCCTGAAACTTACTGATTCAGTATGTCTGGGAGGCTCCCAAGAGTTTGCAGTTTAATAAGTTCCTAGGTGATGCCAATGCTGCTGGTCCAGAGACCAGATTCAGGAAGCACTGGGCTGGGGAAATGGGTTAGAATGGAGGGCTGGGGCATCACTAAAGGCCTCCTTGCACCTGGCAGTAATTCATGTGAATTTTGTCAACATGGTCGTGTGCCTTTTTTCCAGCCCTGATCAGCTGCTCAAGAGCTGGCAGCAGTAGGTAGATAATTGGACTTAACAAAGTGAAAAATTGGTATCACCAGGATACTTGGGAGGCATTACCTCTATGTGATGTCTTTGTATTCTGAAAATGCTAGTTGAACCTCCTTTATTTTAAATAGAAAGGATAAGAGAATCTGAGACTGAGAAAGAGGAAAATGGAAGTTTGCGTATGAAGCTTACTGTTGTAGGACTTAGAAGTAAAATGGACTAATATCCACCTCTGGTCTTATATGGCAAGGAGAAACATATGCCCCTTTCCCTAAAATACCTGTTTCTGTGGTCTACTAAAGAGCAAAATTCTGAAATATACTTTGAAAAACTAAAACTCAGTTCTTTTGCATTTTATAAGATTATATCACAAACTGAATTTTAAGAGGGTTATGTTTTTCTTTGAAAATGTTTATACCCTTCTACAAAAAAATAAGTGGTTAAGTGCAGAGCTTCACACACACAAATGGTATCAGCACATGCAGTAAAGAGAAAAATTGGCTGTTAGAGTAAGGGCCACAGCTCATTAATCAGAACAGGAAGAGAAGAACTGACTTCCATAAAAAGGAACAGTGTTAATTGAAATAGAGTACGTAAAGCAGCAATTTAAATATACTATGGTATATCTACATATTAAGCAGCATTATATTTTTAAGTGTAACTGATAGTTTTATTTTTGTTAACAAACAAAACAGATTTTGCTGGAGCCAGGTGTGATCCAGGATGTGCTAGCAGCGGGCAGTCACCTACAGCTGTTGGAGCTTCTCAATTTATGCTCCCACTATCTCATCCAGGTATGTGAGCTTGCATCCTGCTCATACACCCTTCACATTCCTTTCCCCACAGTCATAAGCTGGCCCCCAACAACTGGAGCTGAATGACAGGTAAAGTGGGGGTGGGGTGTGGGCTGTGGTAGTAGAGTTTCTCCAGGACACAAGCTGAGAAGTTCCTAGGAGGGCGGCTGCAGCTCTTGCATCCAATCACAGAAGCAGGAGTCTTCCTCCACTGTCCTGCCCACCTTAGGTCCCCACGACCATTGAGCAGCCGATCAACTCAGTGACCATGCACAGGGTTCCCTGCAGGAGCCGGGGGAGGTGTCGCTAAAAGGAGTCCTAGTCCGAAGCAATATTGTCTGGTTATGGAAATAATCACAAATGCAAGAAAAGTCTAATAGTCATTGAAGATTTCAGTAACAGTATCTAGTAAATCACAAAGTCCTATGTAATTAATTACCATGTGAACTTCCCAGGCAGTAAATGCCGGAGAAGGGATGAGTAATGTGCGTATTCCTCCCTGATTTGCTGGTCAGGAAAGGCCCCATGAGAAGGAGGGAGAGAAAACCCCCGAACACCAAGCACTGACTGTGTGTTCACAGTTGTTTCACATTCAGTCCTCACAATAACTTTGCCCATTTTTATAGATCTAAAACATCAGAGACTCAAAATATATCCAACTTGTCTGAGGCAATATGGCTGGTAGGACGTTCTGATTCCAAAGACCATTTCTTGGTTGGATGAAAACTTCTTGTTAGGTAGGAGTCTGTGGGGCATCTTAGGCAGACAGCATGGCTATGAGTCTCTTGGACTTTATAGAGTGTTACTAACTAATTTGCAATTTTAGGATCCTCCCACTTCCCCCACTGGTGTCACCTTCACTTGCATTTATTATAGCATTAAAAAATTAATTTGAAGAAATAATAAATTCATCACACAATTTAATTCCACTATCTTTGTGCATATGACATGATATTAGTGAGCAGAAAAGTTTTGTTTTCCTGCCCAATTACTTTATTTTCCTTTTAAATCACTTTCTGTAATTTTAAATGTATACTTTTATCATTGACTTCTGTTACCTCTTAGGTAGTTTACAAAGCTCTTTCTCATCTAGCATCTTATTTAATCTTCCCAGCAACCCTGGAAAATAGGAACCAGCACTTCCCAGGGAGACAGTGTGAGGAAGGTCAGCCATGTTCACCTGAGGAAAATTCAAATACAGTTTATGGAATTCTTATGATTATTTGAGCACATTTAATCTAACAGTAAATGGTTAATGATTTTTTTTTACCTTATTTTCCTTTCTTTTCCTCTCAATATTGTTACGTGGTATAGGAAAGCTATTTTTAATCCCTTTCTGCCTGTAGCAAATGGGAATCATGTAGAAAGGTTATAAGACTTCAAAAGTGTGTGTTTGACTTGTGAAATTAAAATTACTTTTATTTGACATTTCTACATCAAATATTGCAACTTGGGCTTTACGCATCATCACCTGATTCACTTTCCCCATGGCAGATAGTAATCAGTGATGCATGCTGACACAGTTTGGTTAGAGCGTTAGTTATCATGATGTACATTATAAATGGTGTGTATATGCAGGGGTGTGTGGGTATACCTAAGCCTATAATTTTCTGTAAGTGAGAATTCCAGATGAACATTAAAGGTCCATGGGTATTTTCCTCTATCCCATCAGATGGGTGATCTGTTGAGATACTAAGTGACTTGTATACTTTGGAATTTAACTTCTGCATTTCATTATTGTGCTGAGGTAAAAGTGTAGCATGCATACATGCTTGTGGACCGTTATTATTCAGGCTTCTTGAATAGTGGTTGAAATTTTCACTGACTTTTCACAAATGTTTTCATTTTGTCATGTAACTTTACTTTTTCTTTTTATCTGTGATTATTGCAAGATGTCAAACTTGTAGAAGGAAATTTTGACTATATGAGTATCAAAATCATGTCGACGTAGAAACCTTCCTTATTTCAGCCTTTAAAAAATATATATACCCTGCTTCTCTCTTAGGATTATAAAAATCACAGACTGGGTCAATTCAATCTACTTTTATATTTTGATATAGTCTCCATAGCTATATCTATTTGCTGTGTTTTGGTAATATTGTTCAACTGATTTTTAATTTAATGTGGGACTATTTCATTGAGTATATAAAAATAATATTTTATTAATGTGAAAAATTCCCAGTGCTTAAAATGTACCCAGGAATTGTGCCCCTTCAATCAATGCTGATATATTCTCTATCTTTGTGTGGTACTTTGTCAACTAGGAGTTTTTGAAACCGCTCTCTTCACTAAGATGTCTGGTATTGTTTTGTTGTTCTTAAAATGCCATTCTTTCTTTGGTTTCTCTGCCAGAGGAGTGAAGGGCAGACCGGCTCAAATATACCATTGCCCTCCAGTGCTCACTACAAAGCAGCTCCAAGGGAAACCGTTGGTGGAAGCTCCCTGAGCCTCACCATCCTGCAGTTCCTGTGAACATGTAAATGGTGCTGCTGCCCTCCTGAAAAGGAAAGGGATACCTGGCACTGTGTGGGCTCCTTTCTCTTTCATTTCCTCTGGCAGGCTGCTGAGAAAAGGAACCCCACATGGCAGGAGCAGTGCTCCTCTGTGTCAATGAGGACAGCTATTTAATTAGCCCCCTAATTAGCCTTCTCACAGGTTCTCAAAGCATGTGTGTGGGAAAAAGGAAAGCTGGGCAATGTATTTAATGCTAATTGATGGGGGGGTGCCTTTCTTTAGGCTCCCATTAATCTTGTCTATAGGTTACAGTACCCTCCTGAGCAGTCTGCTTGTTTCTAGCCTCAATCTGTGGTAACCCATGGCCCCCAGACCATCACTATCTTTCCCAAGAAAGGGAACCACATATATTGAGGGCCTATCCATGCTGAGTGTTTTGCAGGGACTCCCATTTCCACTGCTAAGTCACCCCTTAACACTGGTGGGTGTTGTTTTCTTTTTACAGATGGAGAAACTTAAATTCAGAACTAGGATGTTGATCTGGCTTGAAAACTTTCATTAGCTACCCTGATCATCATTCAGGTGCATTATTTCTCCCACAAAAGTCTTTAGCCTCATCTTCAAGGCCAGGCCTGTTCCTCCCTGGCTTCATCTCCAGCCACTGTGCCTTTCCTAGCCTGCTTTGTTCTGGGCCCTAAGGCAGAGTTTTCATATTGGGACTTGCCATTAGGGGAGAAGATTCATTGGTAGATATCCTCAGTGGCGGGCAGAGCCTCTCAGTCCCCTTTAGATTGTACCAAGGGGTAGGAATGGGGAAAACTTCATACAGACACACACACACACACACACACACATACACACACCATCACCTCTGCTGATGCACAATGCCATAAGATCAGGAATATTGGCAACTGAATTTTGTGTTACATCTCCTGCAAGTGATGCATCAGAAGCTTTGATGAAGATGTCTCTTTTTTGCCGTTACCTTTCCAAAAAAGAAAAAAAAAAGTTTATACATTTTGTATCACCTTGCCCAAGCATATTATATTGTTTTATTAACAACCATTCTTTATGTGCACCAAGTATCATTGTCTTTTTAATAATATGCAATTTAAATGTATTGATAAACAGAACCATCATGTAGACTTTTCAAATAAAACCACCAAAGTACTGAATACGCAACTCCCTTTTTGATAGGAATATAGGTTTAATATCTATTGCTAGACAGCAGGTGGCAGTGTGAATCCACCAGAATTCAGTAGTTAATTTAAAGCAAAAATCAGAAAAAATAATGAAAAGAAAAATTATTTATTTTGCTACATATTAGTCTTCTGACCTAATCAGTAAAAAAGTCATTATTCACACCACACTGGGCAATATGCACTGTAATTTTTAACAAATAATAGGAAACTGTTAATGTGTTCACAGGAAATACAGTTTTGTCTTGGGCTGCTGTGGTCATTTATCAGCACACTTTGTGAAATCACTCATTTGTTCTAATTTGAATGTAAATGACTCTAAGGTTTTACAAATAAGGTGACAGACTCACATAAATGTAATTGCAGGGTTCATCTCCCTCTTTTTATATATCACTCATTAGGTTATGAATTAAATACATCGTATTAAACCAGGGGCATGTCCAATGATGATATTGTAATGGCAAATTACTCTATGCTATTAGAGGTGTATTTTTTATTCATGGACATTAATTTGTCATTAAGCGGCATTAGTTTAGCACTTTTATGTGAAAGACGTGACCTGCAAGAGGAGGCGTGCTGCTGGGATGTGAGAGGCTGGGACGCAAGGGCGATAGGTAGAGCATTTTATCATTGTAAGGGAAACAGAGAAGGGGGGGGTCTGTTGCATTTGTTTTGTTTTCTGTTTTTACAGCATGAAAGATCATTTCCTCAGATTGAAGGCATTGTTCTGTTTACAGCGTGCACATGTGGATCATCGAGTAAAGCAAAGCCCAAATTCTTACTATTCTTCACTCAGAAGCCAAGGAGGAACATAAAGGGAACAGGAGGGAGAAAGGGTCCTGCCCTAAATCTCCTTCTCTGTAACTGATGTTTACTCAGCATCCCTTGTCTTCGTTAAATTTTACACTAAGTGGGCTACAGTGAAAATTAGTTATTTTCTCTCTTCAGTTAAGGTACAAAGGTTTAAAAAATGCTATTCTCTCACTAGGGAGTTAAGGAGAATTCTGGGTGATTTTGTTCCTTTTTTTTTTTTTTTTTGTACCAATGGCAATTTCAGTAAGAAACTATGTTTCCACTTTCAATTCTGAGAAGCACTAGATTCTTGAAATACCTACATCAGGGCTGAAGGTATCTGAGTGCTGTTTTTGCATCATTCTGCACATGGTTTAATGTAGTTGGAAAATGTCTCACCACCTCCAGTTACACTGTGGGGCTTTCGAGCAGAGGGATCACACCTTATACTGATTTTATGCCTTATACCCTCCCTCCCTTCACATCGTGGGAGTTCATTATGTACTGAGGGATTGAAAGGTGCCTCCATTAAGTAATTTTTCTCTGCTTTTTAAATATTAAAATTTATGTTATAGTAGGAAAAATATACTACCAGCCTTTCATTAGTTTTGCCCACTGAATACATTTTTTTGTTAAAAATACTTTCTTCGGGGATTAAATTTGACACTGAGGAGCTCACATATTTTACAGTATTATAATAGATTATCATTTTTAATTAAGTAATACTACAATGACTTATAGGAGGTTATCTCTTCTAAACAATGTATTATTATAATTTTAATTATTAAATTAAGAGTATCACCCAAATACATAATATATAGTGGGTGTTCTGAAGACAATAACTTCTCCTCAAGATTGAGGAGAAGTTATAACTCATGTTCATTTTTCTTCAACACTGAACCATTTTTTCCCACATTAGAGAAGACAAATGATTGTACCAACATATATATTTAATATACTCATAATCAAATGCACTGAGTGCTGTTCCATAGTTCACTAGAGCTGAGGCTTTTGTGTTTGGAGAAAGTTAAAGTACAAAGTTTGGAAAACATATTACAAGTGGTTTAATCTTTTGGATTATTTTTAATCAGCGAAAATGATCAAAAAGGGTGGAAATGTATCAGACCTATTAAATCATAGCCAACTAGTAATTATTTGTTCTAATCAAGAGTATTTGCTATCTGGCATGGGTAATCCAGAATATCATATTTGCCAAATAACATTCATATTTGGCTTTGAAATGCATCATAAGATCTGCAGTAGCCATTTTAGGGTCCCAATTAATTTTTTTCATATGCTATTATGTTGGCTTTTATTCCCTAAGCCCACACTAAAGGATGTCAGGAAGCGACAGCCCAGAGGCACACTGGCTGGCCAGGGAAGTCATTTCAGCATTTTAATCTGTTATATGGATAATGTAGGATTGACTGTATCTTCGTTTGTGAGGATTTTAAAGAGGAGAAAGATTCTCCTGAAAGAATATCTCTTGAAAGAGTTCACTAATAATATTAGTCATTTCAAACCTAAGCTAACTGTTGTCAGCTGGGTGATTTTAAAATCACTTTCAGTATGCATTTTTCTTCTTAAAAATGAAGTGTTTCCAGGATTTTATTCATGCTAGAGTTCAGAATCAATAATCAAAACAAACAAACATCAATCTCACTGAGTTCCATTATTAATACTTGGAAATTGGTGGGGGGTGTGTAAAAGAAGATCTGTGTTTCATTTGAGATATTTATTCTCCCACCCACCCATCTGTAAATATTTCTAGTCATGGTGAAATGTCTCTCCTCTTTCCTGAAGCTAAACCACCTTTCTGCTCCTTATTCCATCAGTTACGCCCTGTGTTTCCTCTGGTTTTGATTTCTCCTACTTTACTGGCACTTTTCTTTCAGTTTATAAATAGGATCAATAAGGCAGGAGACACTCTTCTTCATCTCTCATTACCGCAGCTGCTCCTTGCCCTCACTACCCAACTGTACCCAGTGTCTTCACTCCTTACCTCCTGTTCATTCTTCAGGCCCATTGAACTCAGTGTTCTGCCTTCATTACTCCTCAAAAGTTCTTCCAACAAAGGTCACCAAAGCCTCCTTATTGTCTGATGCAGCAGGCCTTTGTGGTATCCTAAGTGACTCCTCTACAGCATTTAAACACCGGGAGCTGCATTCTTTCCTGCTCCTCTCTTTCTCGGGGCTCTCTCCTATTCTCCTCCTACTCATTTTCAATACCTTTACAAGTGTTCTTCCATTAGCTCCTTGACTGTCCCTCAAAGCATGGGAGCTCTGCATGGGCACCCTTCCCTTCTGCTCACTATCACTCTCTTTCATGCATCTGGGGAGGGTTACTGACTCCAGCCCTCTCTCCTGAGCTCCAGCCCTGTATGTTCAGCCAGCATTTCACTTGATATGCCACATGCTGCCCAAATTCGCCTTTGCCCAGTCTCACACACCTGTTCCTCCTCATCCTCCCTGTCTTTGTTAAGGGACCATCATCTTTCTAGTCACTCAAACCTTGGCATAATCTTACACTCTGCCAAGACCTCATGAATTCCACTAAATAGTGTTGGTTTAGCCATTTAAATCTTTCTCAGATATGCTACCTTCTCTTTCTCCTCCTTGTCATTGACGTCATTCGGGTTGGGACTATTTTTCCTGGACTGCCCTGCAATAACTCAGCTGCGCTCCCTGCCTGTAGTCTAATGCTAATCAACACTGGACAATCTAAGTTATTTGTCTGGTCCACAAAACAATTTCTTTCCCTAAAATCCAAGCTAGCTTTCCATCTTTTGGTTGCAGAACCATGTCCTTTCTATTTCTTGTCTCTATAATGTACCCTATTCTGACTGTACCCCATGGACAGCTTGTCTTAGCTCCAGGCCAGCTGCCTAGTCTACACTTCGGCTTGGGTATTTCTCAGGCACATGACCTCTCTGAGTGTGAACCCAAGCCAGAAAACCAGGAGTCATCCTAGAATCTCCCATCTCCTTGAGCCCCACATACACTGACACAGAGACCTTTCAGCCCCACCCCCTTAACTTGTTAAATCTCTCTCATTGTCTCTCTTTCCACTACTACTGTCTTCAATCAGATCCACATTACTTATTTTATGGACTAAAGCAACTTCTTGCTAACTGATGAACCTGCTTTCCCTCTTGCCCCATTCCAGTACAGAATTCCAAAATTCTGTTTGATAGATTTTGAAAAGTTTTCTTAATCCATGAAAAATTCTGTTTGATTGATTTTTTAAAAAAATCACAACCTGATCATGTCATATCCTTGCTTAAAATTATTCATTATGATGAATGTGGTTCACATAGTCTTCAGGATGAGGTTCACTCCTTTTAATTTGGTACACAGGGCCTGTCTTTATTATGAAATGTGCTATCTCTTTGGCTTTTTTTTTTTTGACAATTTACTACCCATGTGCAATGCCTGTTCCACAGTCATTATGAACTTTGTGCATTTCCCTGTACCTAATCCTCTTCATACGAAACCTCCTTTTCTGTGAATTATTTTTCCCTCACTTTGTCACCTTCTGAATTCCTATTTAACTTTCAAGTACTTGGCTCACATTGTCTCCTCTTCCAGAGTTGCCTGATCAATCTACTCAGTTGGAATTATATCTTCCTCCTCTTCTTTAATTATGGGCAATCTTCTGGGAGGCCATATTGTTTGTGTTAATTTACTTATCTGTCTCCCCAAGACATAAGTTTATGTCCCAAAGTTGTGTGATGTCGGACAAGTTACTTAACCTCTTTGCCCCCCAACTCCTCATCTGTGAAATACAGATATGGTATCCTATATACAGTCTACCTTTTAGGGATGTTGAAGGATTCAATGAGATAGTGCATGCAAAGTATCTTACAAACACAGTATCCTACATCGGTGAGTGCTCTATAAACCAGAGCCGATATAATGTGGTGCTTCACCTGTGAATTCCTCTATTAATTCCACAGTTATCCTCCTACCCAATCCCCTCACCCCTGTCTTCCCTCATTTCTGGAAATGTCAGCAAATTTTCTGCCTACTTCAAATTGACAACCTATTGGACAAATCTGTTCCTGAAATTTTGGGGAATAATCACCATTCTGTAAAAGATATTCTTCCTCTTAGCCACTTCTCTTTGATTTTGCTGAAATGCATACATTGTTTTTTAGAAGCCACAAATAATTAAATGAACCGTCACTTTCTTTCTGCCTCTGAAATTTGAAAACATCATACTGAAATTGTACTTTAATAAATAATAAAATAATGCTTTGACAAAAGCAACACAATACATGGTATTGACACTTTGTAGACAGAAAATTTTGTTGTATTGTTTCCCCTGCCCTTTCTATAATTAAAACATCTTTCTCCATCCTGGTATACAGAATCCAAGAAACAATTGGAAAAGTCTTTCATCTCTAGTTCTAGTGCATGGTGGTACTTAGAAACACATATTGTCTGATTGGATTCCTTCTGCATGTACCATAAGAGCTCCCTATGATAGAAACTTTGATTATAAAGTTGCATGATATCCTATGCTTCCTGACTAGGGAACATAAAAACTGTGTATTTATTTAAAAGAAAAAAAATCTGAATTTTTCCTTACTGGGAGAATGCTATCCATGTGTCTCATTTCCCTCCAGCTGTCTTTCTTTCCTCTGGCTTTCCTTCCAGAGGAAGGAAAGGAGTGTGAAGGGGTGGAGACTTCTCTTCCCCTCTTCCTCACTGTCTATCCACAAGTATCTTTTAGACCAGGCTACCAACCTTTTTCCTGCTGCACATCAAGGGGCATGTGCCACAGGCCCTAGGAAGTGGCTGCTTGTCTGTGTCATGGACTTGGCTCCAGATACCCTGGCCTCAGTCCTGAACATTCAGTATAACGTTTGCCTACTTCAGAGGCACAGTTGAAGGCCTCGGGTCACACAGTTTGTTTGCTGCAACAGTATATTTATGCAGGACAGAGTCATTCCTGTCTTCACTGAAATGCATACTCCAGAGTAATGATTCCTAAACTTGATTATGCAAGGAATCATCTGAATGGATGGCTAAAACAGACTGCTTGGGCCCCACTCCAGAGTTCCTGTTTCAGGAGGTCTGGGGAGGGCCTAAGAACCTGTATTCTAACAAGTTTTGAGGGATGCTGATGTCTGAACTAGGGAGCACAGTTTGAGAACTCCCGCTCTAGATTCTGTTGCCACACTGCTTTTTATCAAGTACCTGACTGTTAAGTCACTGATATTCAGATTTTGAAAGTGTATTTGTCACATTTAGATGAATTTGAATTGCTCCTAGTAACATAAAGATATTGATGCTATGTATGCTTCATAGCATCCAAAAGATAAAAAGCGAAAATAATGCAAATCTGAAACAAACAAACAAAAAAACCTTCCAGGTCTCACTCTTATTCGTAATAATGATTAAGACAGTCTGTAGGTAAGTGAGGGATTTAAAAAAAAAAAACAAAAAAACTACTTTATTAAGTTATGATTGACATACTGAGGGATGATTTAAAGTCTGCAGTACTGGGCTAATTTTCAGCAATCTGACTTTGTGTACTAGAGCAAGTAGGGAAATAGATGATAATGACTTCTATACTATTCTTTTAAACATTTTTAAACTGATTTTGCCTATCCTGGTTCAAAAAGTACAGTTATTGAAATTTTAGTTTTAAAACCCTAGTTGCTCAGATAAACTATTTTCAATTAAAAGAAAATATATATATATATTAATTTCTTATATATATTCCATATTCATTGGCAATCTCCTTACGTGCTGAGTCAGGTTTAGTGAACTTTGAAACAGCATTTTGCAGCACGTAGTGACTGGGGCCAGAATTATTAGTTATTGTTGACGGCTATGTTTCACTTCCTCCCTACTAGATTTCCAGCTTACTAGAGAATTTCCCAAGGAACAATATAAAATTATTCATGAGCCTTGGGTATTATGCATACAATTGATTATGAAAATGTACTAGTAACCTAATTGTAGAATTCCTCTGTTACACAGCACAAATGTATTTAAATAGGCCTTGCAAGACTCCAAAAATTAGAGCATGCTGGAGTTTTCCTTGTACTTTTGAATTGCTGCTAATACTTTGTTTTCATTTAATCAAATTGTATCATATACATATGCATATCAATGTTTGAATATATCATTACATACAGTTGTCCATACATATTTACATATTTATATACAAAATATGCCTATATCTCTCTGTATGTTTATACATATAAACATATCTGAGTTTGATTATTTTATCATATTACAAGTTATCTGGCCTGCATTGTCAATGAATTGCTCATTTTTTCTTCTATAACAATTAGACTTTATCCTATCAACTCTATGACAATGTTGAGAAAATTCACAGAGCCCTTCACATGCACAATAAACATGATAACTTCTTTCCTATATAACTGATCCCAAGGCTATTAAAAGGTTTGGATTTTGTTTATTTATTGGTTTGTTTCAACCTGTTCCAAAGGCCAGACCTTACCGCACATCCACACCAGCCCCCTTTATGTTGCTTTCTCTACTCCTGGAGTACCAACCTTTCCTGCAGCACCAGGTTAGGTAGTCACATAATACCTTGATTTATAACTCAGTTGTAATCAAAATAGGAAACAGGTGGAATCACAACTGGGTATGGTGCCTTGGATATTAATGGCTTGGCTCAGCAGTGGAATTTCTAAAGCCGTATACACTTTTTTGTCTTAATTATGCATTCATTAAAAGCTTTTATACCCAACAGAATAAAGTAAATATTTTTTGATCTCCATAGTGTGCTCCCAGACTGTAGATTTGCACAGCGGGGTCTTGATAATCTGAATAAATTGTATTTCCCCAAGGAGTTTATCTTTCAAATAAGGTCATAAAGAAATGCAGCTCCCCCATCCGTAGATTTCTCCATGTGCCTTTTCTGCTATGAGTAATATAGAGCTTGAGAACCAGAGTATATTATAGTAATACATACTTGCTTATGGTCCAGTATAATGTCTCTATCTGTTCTCCCTGCTTATCTCCAGTGAAGTATTTTTTGAGTACAAAAGAAATGACAGCTATGGTTTTTGCTGACACTCATAGAAAAACAATGTCCATATTAGACATTCAGTGTTTTCTTCCCTTTACCCGCTCAGTGAGTATGGACTATGCAAAGCTATAGTTTAAGTACTGTTAACAGCATTTGTAAAAGGGAGTAATGATAGCTACTGTATGTTGAGCATCTACTATGTAGAAGGTACTTTATCTGCACTTTTGAGAATCCTTATCACAGATCTGGAATGCAGTGTCACTTTTCGCAATTTTTAGATGAGAAAATTAGACTTGAAAAGATTAACCACTTCCTGAGGCCATCCAGATGGGTCAGCTCCAAATCATGTGTTTTTCCTACAGCTCTAAACTAAAGACACCACCAGTGCCTTGTTCCCGCAGTTTACCACCCAGTGAAGGAGACAGGGAAACTATGAAATTAGGAACCTAAGTAAATATGCACAATTAGGTGTACTTATAATATTTCTAAATCATGAAGACTAAGATGGCAATGCACCTCATGGTGCATACGTATGCTAAAAGTAGCACACAGTTCTGAAAAGTTCAGGAAATAGCTTTTTCCCATCTTTTTAGGTTGCCATATTTATCTCCAGTGTAGCTAACATTTCTAGGCACGTACCTTTATTTAAATATTAAATAAATGTATTAATATTTAATAAATTATTTACATTGTAAAATATTTAAATATTTTTAGAGGAGCAGGAAAATCTATGTTTTTGCCATAAACTAAGAAATAAAAGCAATAAAATTTGAAATTTTAAAGATGTGGCATTTTTTCTTGCCTACCCACTGTATATCAATCAAAACTTGCTAGGTAGCCACTTTCTGAAGACAGAGAGGAAGATCTAAAGAACTAAAGATACTATCTGCACCTTTATGCACAGCTGGAGAGAGAAGAGTCAAACAAATGATACAAATAGCAAGTGCAATTAAAAGTCAGAGGAGGGAAAGTCCTCCAAGCTGGAGTGGCCTGCCTTTCCCTGGAGATGGAATCTGATCTGGGTTGTCCCGCAGAAGGGAAGGGCATTTATATTACAGAACTTCCCCTTTCTCACAAGCTTTTTAAAGTCTACTGAAGCAAACGATGTCTTTAAATCTTTCACAAATAATAATCATTTGTGACAAAAGAGTCTCAAAGTTCTGCTTATGGTATAAAGGAAAATTAATGTGAATTCATTTGATAATGTCTGATTTTTTTTTTTGGCAAACAGTTTGCACATTTATCTTTTTCTGATCATCACTAAAAACCAAGAGAAGTAAGCTTCTTTTTCAACATTCTGGGGAAAGGGGGAAAAATCTAACATATAGAAAACAAGGAGACCCAAGATTCACTGTGGAAGTCAGGCCTCATGTATCTGGCACCACAAGAGGGCATTCCATTTTATTTCCCAATTGTATGAAAAACCCAGTACCTAGATAGCATCGCAAGGGACTTTCTGAAGCTCAGATTAAGTACTTAAGAACACTTTTCTCAGTTAATTGTGGGAGAGCTGTTTATTTTGCCCAACTGTTAAGTTGTATCTATAACCAAGCTATTATTTCCTCTTTTCATGTAAAGTCATAGATGTGCCTCACAACTGTTTGCTTTTTTTTCATTCTTGATCCAACAAATACTTCTCTGTTGCAATCTATGAGAAAGACATTATGATTGACATTGTGCAGAATACAAAAAGCATACGATGCGAAATCTACTTTTTACTAGTTTACTAGGTACATTTTTAATAGTTTGAAGATAAGCTACATGCATGAATAGCTTAGTGACAAGCTTATGTGTATGTGATAGGAAACTTGAAGTGGGAGGCATTAGAATTCATTCAGTGATAAAGAGCCTTATACTTACCGTATCCTACTTGCTACTTGGTCCTTATAAGCAGCTGATACAATTTTTAAATTTCACTTTGACTTAACATTGTTAAAAATCAAACCATACTGATTTTTATGTAGAGTGGTTTCTCAGGCTGTTTGGAATAGATTTGGGAGTGGTTTTAAAAAGAGAATTTCTTGACTTACAGAGCCAAGGATGGCCTTTCATTTAGAGAAATTTTCAAATTGTGATATAAAATCAACATTTTATATAAGAACTTCATGTATGCTACTACATCATGGGCATAGAACCACTATGTCTCCTGCCTATCTTTATCTATAGTAAAGTATCGACATGGGGTAATTTAGGTGACATTTCGAAGGAGAGTTGTCTAAGTGAAGTGCATCAATAATTGGAAATGAAAGATTATAATTACATTGATGAAACAAAGCATTGTTAAAATAGCCACATCTGTTGAGTGTTATTACCCGGAAAAATCTGTAATCCTATTCAATTTGGACATCTTAGAGGGGGAAAACTTGGGAAATCAAAATGAAATTACTCTTGTTTTAACCTTGAGAGGAGTTTATTATCTTTAACCCAAGTCATAGTTTTCTATAGTGATAGTACATGATGCTTATTTTTCTTTCACACGTCAGTGGCATTCTCAGAACTAGATGAGACAGCAAGAGAAATAGGTGTTTTTAAGGCTTTGTTTTGAAGGGTGCCTCATCTAGTTTTAAGAATGTCAAAACACCTATTTTTAAGATGACTGCATCCACTGTAGACTAACTCCATTATCTACCCCACAAACAGATATCATATAATTATGCATAATGTGTATAATTTCTGTGTCAGAGGCATGATTAAACTGCAGTGTGGATGGGCAAGGGGTTATTGACAAGCCAGGGAGCCACGGCGGTAGCCAAAACTAAGACTATGTTTCAGAAATTCAGATGATTCTCAGCTTGTATCATCATTGGCACACAAGACACAGCTCTTGAGCGTGACATCCCTAAGCTAGGCTGTGGGTTATGTGTGGTAAATATGCAGACTCTAGGCATAAGGCTGCATGTTTTTCTCTCATTCAAGAAGGTATAGTAGAATACAAGTGAGTCTGGGTGGCATTATTTCATAGGCTTAAATCTACTCTAAATTATAAACAAAGTACTTCTTGTATGAACTTTGGTCATTTATTAGTAGTTCCTGCATAATTGAGATATTGAGAGACACCGCAAAGGCCATGGCCACTCTGCTGCAGATGAGACCCACCAGGGGACATCACCGAGGCCAAGACTCCTCCTTCTCTTGCTGCCTTCACTGGCTTGGGAAGGGTGGGCTGAAAGGCCACAGGATCAACACTGTCCTCAAACTGCCCTCCTTCCTCCCATTCATGTCCTAACTGCTCGATAATTGCCTTGCAAATGTAACTACACTTGAATATAAACCAAAATAAAACAATATTTGCCTTTCCCATATTTTTACCCCTACCGTATTTGGTAGTTAATCTGGGGAATAACCATTGAAGGAACCAATTAGGGAAAGAGGCCACACAGAAAGACTGAGTTTGGGGAATATATAAAGTTTAAAAATTATTGAACTTGAAAAACTGGTGTTTATTCCATAGCTAGTGTGGTATTGAGGACACATTTTATGGCTCCTCTTCTCTTATTTAACTTGTCATTCACACTATGAGAAACAAATAGAAGGAATAAGAGAAGCCAAATAGCCCTAAACCAAAGGAAAATAAATACTATTTAAAAATATTCCCTAAAGAACAACAATGTATGCACCATAATTCTGAATAGAAACTAAATTTCAAGTGAGAAGCAGTGTGACAGAAATGAAACCTTTTTAGAAAAAAAAAAGAGTAAGATTTTCTTTTACTCAAGAGAGTTTCTTGTTGCTGAGCTGTAATTTCCATTCAAAACCACTACCGCTACCTGGATACTTACATTTTTAAGTCACAGAATGCAGGAGAGCTGAGACAATCTCGTAATTAGGAAAAAGTATCATTTGAAAAGATATTAAAATCTTTTGATCTAAGTAGCCAATTGATAGAGGAAATAATTCTCTGTTGGACTGTAAAAGAAATTTGGGGTGGATTGATTTTTTTGTCACAGAAGAATGATTATATTATACTTGTTCAGTAACACTTTCAACTCTAGTCATTATTACCAATTTTCCCACGCAGAAAACAGGATGACCACTGGCTTTGCCTTTGTGTGTACGTGTCAGAAGGCCAGAAAGAGAAAGGGACAATCAGGAAGGCCTGTGAGATATGAAAAATGGCCTGATTTGGACAAGGTTCAGAATTGGATAGGCATATTGGAAAGACATGGGCTATTCTGTTTTTGCCTAATTATAAGTAAACAGAAAAAGCTCATGGGTATTCTTTCATTAAACACACATGTATTAAGCATCTGCTCCCTACTGGATACCAGGGACACACAAGGCATGAGACACAATCTTTGCTTCCGAGAAGCTTAGATTTGGTAGAGGGAGATAGATCTGCAGTTAAAGGGTGCTTGCAGTGACAAGTGATGTGCTAGACATATTTGCAGAGGGCAGAGTAGAAGTACACAGGAAGAGGTGGTCAATTTGACCTGACCCAGGGAAGTTGAAAAGATGATATGGTTTCTTCATTCAGCAAGTGTGGCTTGAACGTACCTGGCATTGTTCTAGGCTCTGGGGATACAGTGGTGAACAAACCAGCAGCTCCTTCCTCCCATGGAGCTTACTGGGGGATCAGGGGAGGAGACAAGCACATTATAAACAAGTAGGCAAATAAATGCTGAAGATAATTATAGGTGGTGACAAGCTCTAAAACAAATAAGATGGAGAAATGTGATTGACGGTGACATGGAGAGGAAGGGAGATGTGCTGTATAGGATATTCAGATGAAACAAGGGAAACACAATTCCTATCCCATAGGAATTTTGCTCATGCTGCTTCTTTGGCTTGGAGCATCTCCCTGAAATCCTACCATCATCCTGTTTTAAAATGTAGATTTTGTTATTATTGAGTTATGGTGAGGCCAACAGATCAGGAGACAATTACCATTGAAAACATGATTTGTTTCTGCTCCAATAAGAGGGCACAGACCACACCTCCAGGACTGCATAGGGAAGCCCCAGGGTTGGTGAGGAGGTAGAAGGAGTGAGGGGGGAAAAGTGGACTAGAGTCTTTATAGTGGTATCTGCAGGAAGGAAGTGGGCAAAGCAGGGTTAGCAGGCTTATGATTGGCTAGTTTGAAAGTTTCCATGGGTTCACGAGTGTAGGGGCTGGCTCTGGTTGTCTGGTACTTGGCCCTGGGATGATGGGGACAGAGGACTATTGCCTCCTGGAGTGTAGAAGCCACATAGAGGAGGTGATTTAGAGTATGGGCTCTGGATTGGTTAGTTTGCATATGAAAGCCGTTTGCTCTCTCAAAGAATTGGCTAGCCCTGGGAGGGGCAGTCTATTCTCAGTCAGTGAAACCCCAGATGCCAGAACATGGAGAATACAGAAATAAAATGTTGTTAATATACATCCCCATCCCACCCTTTGCCAAGTGAACAAAGGATGCTCTTCCTTCAACTCTCAGCATCAAACGGCTTCTCAGGGAAGCCTTTACTAACTTTCCACTCCAAGTCAACTCCAAGTTAGTCCTTTATTAACTCCAAGTCAAATCCCTGTTATGGACACTCATAGTCCTATATTCTACTCTTTGTAGCTTTTACCTCAGTTATAGTTTTCCATGTAATTGTAAGGTTTTTTGATTTATGGCCTTCTCTTCCAGTAGACTATATATACCATAAGGCCTAGGGCTTGCCTTTTTTTGCTTATCTGTGTTGCCAATTCCTGCTGTAGTCCTGGCACATGGTGTGAATGTGTAGGTTGTTGTCATGGCTAGAGCCAAGCCAGGGTGGATAGGGTTGCTGCACCTTAGGATGTGAAGATCGCAGTGCCCCGGTCATGGAAGGCTATACAGTGTTACTGAGTTTGGACTTTTTCCCCAAAGCAAATAACTTATCAGACTTATCAGTGGGTTTTAAAGAGATGATAAATATGGTAGATTCTTGTGAAAAGAGAGGATTGAGAGTTTGCTGCTGGAGGCAGGAATGGTAATTTAGGACACTGTTGCAAGAAGTCCAGACGGGATGATAAGGAACAGAACAAGAAATACTAAAGAGGAAAAAGAGACAGGACTGGCGATTGACTAGATGTAAGGGAGGAATGTAGGCCAGCTTTTGGGTTCTTGATGTGGGTGTCTAGATGTGACTGTTATCTAAAAGAGGAGATACAGGAGTAGATGCAGGCTATCATAAAATAAGCTCAGTTTAGGCTGGGAGCGGTGGCTCACACCTGTAATCCCAGCACTTTGGGAGGCCGAGGCGGGCGGATCATGAGGTGAGGAAATCAAGACCATCCTGGCTAACACGGTGAAACCCCGTTTCCACTAAAAATACAGAAAATTAGCCGGGCATGGTGGCGGGCGCCTGTAGTCCCAGCTACTCGGGAGGCTGAAGCAGGAGAATGGCATGAACCCGGGAGGCGGAGCTTGCACTGAGCCAAGATAGCACCACTGCACTCCAGCCTTGGGCGACAGAGCAAGATTCCATCTCAAAAAAAAAAAATAAATAAATAAAAAGAAAGAAAAAAGCTCAGTTTGGACTTTGGACATGATGAGTTTATGACTGTGGGATATCCAAGAGACAGCATCTTCTTATAGGCAGTTGGGAAAATGAATTCAGAGCTTAGGAGAAAGATGTGGGTCAGTCATATAGATGTGGAAGGCATTAACTTGCAATTAGTTTTTATCTTAATTCTATGGTTTTTATTTTGGCCACCCCCTCTTTCCCTGAGTTAATGGTGTGCCTTATTCAAGACTTGAATATTTAAAGAGAACACATGCTTCATTTTGACCTCTTTGCATCAGTGATTAATCATGGTTTATGGATCCCAAACAACAATGCTCAAATATACTTTATTGTTCTTGCTCTCCCCCGCAACCTACTGTGTACTTTCCACGTGCCAAACTTTTATGGTAAGTGCTTTTCATACATTATCTTTATGCCAACCCTATGAGCTTGTTGAGCTCTTAAATTTGTACTTGGGGAAGGCTGGGTGCCGTGGCTCATGCCTGTAATCCTAGCACTTTGGGAGGCCAAGGTGGGCGGATCATGAGGTCAGGAGTTCAAGACCAGCCTGACCAATATGGTGAAACCCCATCTCTACTAAAAATCCAAAAATTAGCTGGGTGCGATGGCACGCGCCTGTGGTCCCAGCTGCTCGGGAGGCTGAGGCAGGAGAATCACTTGAACTTGGGAAGCAGAGGTTGCAGTGAGCTGAGATCGCACCACTGCATTCCAGCCTGGGCGACAGAGCAAGACTCCGTCTCAAAAAAAAAAAAAAAATTGTACTTGGGGAATAACAGAGATTCAGTGACTGACCCGAGGCCCCAGCCAATGGTGTGTCAAGCTGGATTTGAGCCGAGTCTGCCTGCCTCCACCGCCCTTGCTCTTCTCTGCCTGCCTTGGTTGCCTCCAGGTGCCTGTGGTGGCTGATGGTTTGTTTGGTCCTAAATGCAACTATTCTCTTTTTTCAACATATAAAAGACTTATTTTTTAAAAGTCTAGAAGTATATATACAAAAACATTAATAGTGATTATCTCTGCATGGTGAAATTATGAAGGATTTTTGTTTTCCATACTTTGTATTTCTGAATTTTATGAAATGAGCATTTATTACTTTTTATAACTAGAAATGGCACTCTTTCTATAACAGCAGTAATTTTTGTTTCCCATCCACCGTACTATTGTTGGGCATTTAATGAAGTTTATTGCTTCCCACCTTCCCCCATCACGTTAATGGAAAATTTAAAAGCAGCATTATTGGTGCTTATTTTGCTTACACATGGTTTAACCAAAAGGACAAAAAGCAATGGTTTTGCTTAAGACTCACAAAGCCCATCTGCCCCAAAAGGAGGAGTGTGTGCTATGTTGTCATTGCCTTGGGGTGAGTTTTCTTTTTCCTTCAGCTCCCCACTTTATACAGTTATCTGCTGAGGTGCAAACTATGCACCTCAGTAAGGAGTTCTTGATACTCTCAGGTAACCAGAAAGGGGAAAAGTAGGTTGAAAATTACTTGGATTTATAGAGTGAAATGGATATCTGATAGCATTATACATTCCTCAAGTTATTGGAAAACTATTGCTCATAATTATATTAATAATTGTAAGTTAAAAGTGAGGGGAAAGTAGGAAATAGCCCACTCTCATTCTACTTGACATATGCAAATTTTCTTTCAACAACTGTACTGTATCTCTGATTTTTGTGGGGGTACAGTGACAAAGGTACAGTGGAAGCTGTGGCTCTCTGGAGGCATAATTGTAGAGCCCTGGCTATGAGCTTGAGACTGCAGGTAAAATCCTCCCAAATTTGAAGCATTTCTGCAGAAACTCTTCAAAAAGGTGGGAAGAATGGAATGTCTGAGGCTGAGAAAAAAACAAAGAACAATTACAAATCATCCATCTTAGGTGGATTCAATATAGAATTATTCAAACAGGAGTCTTTTCTGTGAGATTTCCTCATTTCCTGAGACCTTGTATATAAAACTCTGGATTTTAGTTAAGACAGGATGGGTTGTTTTGACTTAAAGACCTACTTAGTTTGAAGTTTTGGAAAAAGAGCGGAGTCAGTCTGTCTTCAAATAGTTTATGTCATCTAATCATGAATCGCCATTTACCTGCCCTTACGTTATCTTTAGTAGAGAAAAAGCTGTAAAATATGGTAAGGGTAGAAAAAGCAATTGCCCTCATTAGTAAAATGTCTCTAGAATGTTGCAAAGTAACATTTCAGCCCTTGAAACCAGAGACCCCTTTCACTCCTTTTATTAAGATGTCTTTAAATATATGGGTTTTAAGAGGAGTAAAATGAGGAAAAATTATGAATTCTAGAATAGCTGTTCTCTATGCAGAACTTTATAATTGTGATTTCTTTTTTTTTTTATACTAGCCCTCCCATTTCTCCCACCACTGTGATGAAAACCTTAGTGAGTCAATCTGAATTTCTTGCCTGCTCTTTCTCGGATTTATTTCTAAGAGATCTTTTTTCATTTTTATTTTTTGGCACCCAGGAATTAAATAGCTTTAATTACTTGGATCTGTACAGACTTGCTGACCTCTTTAACCTCACTTTGTTGGAGAAGGCAGTGATCGATTTCTTAGTGAAACATCTCTCTGAACTCCTGAAGAGCCGCCCAGAAGAAGTTCTAACGCTTCCCTATTGCCTGCTTCAGGAGGTGCTGAAGAGCGACCGCCTGACCTCCCTGAGTGAAGAGCAGATCTGGCAGGTAAGGGCGCTGTGCACGGTCGCTTTTGGCACTGAAAAAGCATGCCGTGATTGGAAGTTAAAGGACTGAGGAACAATTACCACTATTTTAGTGGCTTTGGTCCTCATGGAGTTGTTTTAGAAGTCATGCTTCCTTGATGGACAAGTGATTGGAGAACACTGGCCCTTGAGGCTCAGAGCCCTCAGCGGACTCTGCCGCTTAACTCAGGGAATTGCAGGGGCAATCCATGAGACCCTCACTGTGGCTTCCCAGAACCTAACGTGGTCACATCTGAGTCAAGGGATGTTTTTTTCCTGATAAAAATTGTTTCTTAAACAAAATATGACAAAAAAATGGATTGTAAAGTGATATATATGCATATTTAAGACCAGGAGAATCAGAGTAAATTTGGGCCTTTGCTGTAAACAATTCAGAAACATTTCTTTGTTGCAATAGAGAGCAGCTTGGATCTCGAATGAAATGAAGCTCTTCTTGCATGGCAGTGGAAAAATCTCCATCCTTAGTTCATTCTGCATTCATTGCTATTTTCCTAAGCCCTGCCTTTTCGCCTGACATAGCATTCTTTTCACATTGTGTCGCTCCCTTGTCTAGAGGACAGGAGGATGTTTTGTGGTTTGAAGTTGATTATTCAATTAAATCCTCTTCTGCTCATCCCCAGTGACTATTCCTTGAAAAATCCACTTGGTGTCTTTGGGGAATAGTCAGAGAGCCTATCTTCCTCCTCCATATTACAGCCTGTCTATCTCACTCTCTGAAGCACTGGCTAGCCATTTTGTTACTTGTAGGGTGCCATGCCTCCAAGATTTCACAATCATTTGAAAAATAATTATATACAGACTACCAGGGAAAATTTAAAGTCTTCTATTAGCTGATTAAACAGTGAATCCCTGGTATCTTATCAAGTAATATTTAGAGAGTATTTTAATTCTGGCCAAAATTGTCATATAGGTAGCTGTTAATTATTCAGTAGCTAACTCTACTGACTGATTATTTTCCTGATGCCTTTCTGCCTTATTTCATTATTTGTGTTACTTTAATCAGTAACTTCCCTCTTCATTATTGCTTCCACCAGAGGGAATTAAAGAGCTGCAGCGTCCTGAAGGCCTTCTGGGTCCCAGGCTCTCTGCAAACTTATTGACAGCAGGCCTGAAAGAATGGCTATTATCACTGCATGTACCAGATGAACAAAATGAGGCTTCTGTGCCTTACTCAGAGTCACAGAGCAGAGCCAGCCTTCAAATTTAAGTCTGCTAACACCTGCCCCCATGTCTTCAATATTCCACACTGTCTTGATAAAGAAAATATAAGGACCAAAAAAACATTAAAGAATAAATTTTTTGTGGCTCCTTGGGTATTTCTGGTAATGTTTGTTCAGGCAGAGGTTGAACAGGTTGACAAGGATCTGTTTTTGGTAGAAATTTCAATTATCTCTGGCTCTCTCTTATAAACACAAATCAACAGAATTTACTTTGGTCAATTCAAAATGGGAAGTAGTCAAATTTTCTTCACTTCCCAAGGGAAAAAGAAAGATTTGGAATGAATCCTGCATTTAATTTTTTCTAACTGAATTGACATCTGAGGCTAACCATCCTTGTGGCTTCTATCTCTTTTTGTGGCGCAGTTGAAGGCACTGCCAGAGATTGACGTGGTAATGTGCAGATGGCTGAGTGTCAAGAAAATTCCATACTATCCACTTAAGAGTTATCATAATTGCCTCTCTAAAGGTTACTAATATTATAATGTAGAATTTTAAAAGCTGCTTTCTGCTGCAGGCAATAATTTTTTTAATACCTGGTCCTCAAGAAAGAATTAAAAGACTCACATAAATATTATCAATTTAGGCATTCAGCAGGCAATAAGAAACTGTTTTTGCTTTATCTTAGTAAATAAGTATTTCCCTCATATTCAACCCCATAGAGAAAAATCAAATCAGACCGCTATTTTGCCTCAAGTATAGTTAAGTTCATCATTTTTGCTGAGGTTATGCTAGTAATGCAATATACCATGGAAGAATCTAATATTCAGCCCAGAGTAGAGATTGGGTATGCCAGAGGATTAGTGTCAGGGTGCTTTATAGAAGTGAAACTTGATGGACAGGCTGGAGACAGATCTACAGAATCTCATTAAATTGCTGAATTGTTCATTACGGAACGTTCTCACTGTAATAAAGTGCTCATTGACTTTGACAAATCCCTATCCCATGTCTTAAAGAAGAAGTGTGAAGCAAAAGGTGTTGGGGAGGAGAAAGGAAATTGGCACAAGGTAGGACAGGTAATAGAAAACTGGATGGAGGGGGGCGTGCTATTTGATTAATATGTGCAACCAGTAACTTAGATGAGAGCATGGTAAACACACACACACTTACGCAGGTGGCTCTTCTACTATGTACTGATAATGTCATCTGGGACCATCCCATATTTGGTGAAAGGTCTAATTTTCATTATTCACCAGATTTCATGCAGTCTGGCTCTGAAGACCTGTCATAAGAACCTTCAAATTAACCTCACCGAACCAACTCTTTTTCACTTTTTCCTGCTGTTCCTTACCCAAGCCCTTTCCTTGACAAAATGTGTTGTATGCAGGCCACGGTAATCATTCTGTGGATCTGTGAACCTGTAAAATACCCCAAGATGATGCCTTGGAACTGTTCTTTTTTTTCCATCTGACCTTTCTAAGCTTTATTCTGAGTCTCTTCTCTCACAGAAGTCTTCTTGGTTCCTCCTAGACAAATTTTCATCCCTTCCATGGTCTGAAATGACTTGATCTGTTGGTTAATTTCACTCTATATTTAGAGGTAACATAGAGAGTTGTTCACATACATACCTTAGATGGATAAGGACATAGAAGTTCCCTAAAATATATTGTTTTTTTAAAATTTAGTTCAATTCAGCTCAACAATTTGGTTTTATGTTTCAAGGCCAGCAATTTATCAGGTTCCAGATGAAAGACACCAAATTGACTATTGGGTTCAAAGAAAGGAGACTAAAACTGAACAAATCAGCTGAAATGGAAATATGGGACATTAGGTCACTTGCCTTTGTGACCTGGCAAATCTCTATCTGTTTGATTTTGCTTTCAGATATTAGCTCCCAATTAGAACTTCATTTCAGTAGGGCCCTGTTAAATATCTTCTGTTAGATTTTGCATATATTTTCAGACTGATGAGCCAGGGTCTTACCATAGGAGCTGGGGAGTGCAAGAAATGGGGAGATGTTGGTCAAAGGGCACAAAACTTTCAGTTAGAAAATAAACAAGTTCTAGGGATCTAATATAGAGCATGGGTTCCAGGGATATGTTAATTAATTTGATTGTGGTAATCATTTCCCAGTGTATATGCTTATCAAATCATCATATTGTACACCTTGAATCTAAACAATCCTTATCTGTCAATAAAATATTTTTAAATAAATAAGCCAAAACATGGCAATTCTTCATAAAAAAAACTTAGAACAACACATAGAAGTAATTCTGTATCATTCTCATGATCAGATCTGTTTTCATTTCCATAGGAAGTGCTGAGTAAGCTCTGTTTTCTTTTCAGGAACATGCATTTCCTGCCTCTTCTGCCTTTAGGTTCTCTTTCACCAGAGTAAGAGGGAGATTACTGTTTTCCATGGAAGTACAATTTGTAGAAAAAGCCTATATAGAAAAATATAACATCAATTCTTATACACACTAGCATAGGGAGAAAGTATGGCTCTCCACCCATCAGTATGTACTGAGCACCTACTAAATACCCAAAATTATGCTAGAGTGGAAAGAAGGCAGAGGACAGATCTGCCAACTCCATTTCCCTCTTCCAGGCCTCCTCCCAAATGGAGAGAATCCTCCTGATTTTAAACCATAAGTACAGCTCTCTGAATTTTTATTTTATCTCCAAAGTAGCAGAAACAAGAAGGATATTTAAAAATGAAAGAAAACAGCTTGTGGAAATAAAAATGAATATTTCTTGACCACCTGTTACATGCTAGGCATAGTGTTGGGAGCTAGATTCTGGGGTAAAATGCTTTACAAAAATATTCAGTAGTTAGGTTAAGGAAATTTATTTCACCTTTATCTCTGAGTGGGAAGTTTTGTTTTCCTTTAATTATTAATGTATTAACTGTTTCTTACTTTTAGTGAGAACTTATTATTTTGTAAGAACAGTCCTTTTCTGGGTAGGCGCGGTGGCTTACGCCTGTAATCCCAACAGTTTGGGAGGCTGAGGCGGGCAGATCACTTGAGGTCAGGAATTTGAAACCAGCCTGCCCAACATAGTGAAACCCCATCTCCACTAAAAATACAAAAATTAGCCAGGTGTGGTGGCAGGCACCTGTAATCCCAGCTGAGGCCTGGAGGCTGAGATAGGAGAATCAGTTGAAGCGAGAGGCAGAGGTTGCAGCGAGTGGAGATTGCGCCACTACACTCCAGCTGGGATGATAGAATGAAACTCCAGCTAAAAAAAAAAAAAAAAAGAACAGTACTTTTCTTACTTCATTAACCTGGGGGTTGAGGACACTTCCTACTTGTATTCTGAGTCTGACTTTGCCTGGACTTAAGTAGATATTAAGACCAAAAAATTTGCTGGCTATGTGAGTGGCGTCAAACAAGGTAAGACCTCAGCAGGGAGGGTTTCCTTTATTCTATTAGGTTGGTGCAAAAGTAATTGCATAAACCCAAGTTATGTCCTATTTTAGTGTGGCAAAGAGGGACCATGTCACCTGATTTGGGGCTGGGGCAATCCTGTTCATATTTGTCCGTGATTATCCATCCCTAGAGGCAGAGGCTGTGCTGTAGTGTTTGCATTACCTACTGCTTGCACTCTATTAATAATAAATAAAAACAACAATGTAGAGTTTCCATATTAAAATGTATTGAATGGATAATAAGACATCCTACTATTCCTACATTAGGCTGGATTTATTCTAAGAAAATTGATATAGAAAATGAGTTTGGCCTTTTAAAGACTGCATTTTTCCTTATATTTTTGTTGGAAATTTGCTTCCCTAAGTCATACTCTTAATAACACATTCATTTTATATCTTGAGAGACATAAGCCACATATTGTTTAGTCAACAATCTCAAATGCAGTGGTTTTTTTGACACGCTCCTCCTGGGCTTTTATGTATACCACAGAATCAGCCACGTTACAGTTTGAATTAATCATTTTCTTCAAAAGGAGTCCCAGAAGTGAACCCAAACAAAAAGCTACTATCCCTTTACAGTTGGAAAGTAGAAGACACTGGTGATGTACTCAGCTTTCATCTTTTATCCTTCGATGATAAATTGACCCAAATGTACCTCTGGCCAGGAAGAAGCAAGGAATTTAAATAGTACTAGATGTCAAACAATACTATTAAAATACTTCCAATTTGAATATCACATCACAGTTTTGAAAATGCATCTTCATTTATTATTGCTTTGTTCTCCTGTAGTACAAAAGGGAAAACTGAGGTTACATATCTAGGAATCAAACTCATGTCTTCTAATTCTTGAGCTATGTCTACTTTGGTCTATAGCTTCTAAATTTGTAATAGAAGCTCAGAAATACTCAGGCGATGGGCACAGAGGTGCATCCAATTAATCCTATGACTTTAACAGGAATTAAGAAGGGCTTGATTAGCTGGGCACAGTGGCTTACGCCTGTAATCCTAGCACATTGGGAGGTTGAGGCAGGCTGATCGCTTGAGCCCAGAAGTTTGAGACCAGCCTGTGCAACATAGTGAGACCCCTGTCTCTACGAAAATATTAGCTAGGCATTGTGGCATGCACCTGTAGTTCCAGCTACCCAAAGGGCAGGTTCACCTGAGCCCAAGAAGTTGAGGCTGCAGTGTGCCGTGATTGCACCACTGCTCTCCAGCCTGGGCAATAGAGCGAGACCCTGTCTGGAAGAAAAAAAACAAAACAAAACGAAACAGAAAAAAGAGCATGACCATTCTAGTTCCCTTGGGTAGTGCCCATGGATTGAACAAATCATGGCCTCTGTGCCTGCCTCCGTGTCTGTGTCATGTTGCTAATTCTAATTCTGTTAGATGACATATGCCTCATTCATTCTTTCATTCATTCCAAATAGTTATTGAGTGCCTGCTCTACCCAGCCATGTCCTGTGGGGTACTACTATTGCCTGCCATATGATGGGTGCTGGGTAGTCAGTAATGGGAAGCACCAACAGGGTCCTGCTGTCATGGGCCTGACAGTGTCTGATGTGGGGCTTTCCGCTTGCTGCTCTTTCCCACCTGCCCAATGCCTTCCCAGTGGGGACTGACCTGTGCCAAATAGCATAATGATTTCTTTGCCAAGTTGGGGCACGTTGAAATGATATGGGTACAATGGAGATGACATGCTTTTGACTGGATGTTTCAATACCAACCAGTGACCCTTCGCCTTTTGTTCAATGCTTTGCTTATTGTTAACTCTCGATAGTTGTATGCACCCTCTAAACAGCTTCGCAAACCTTTGTCAATCCATGTGATACAGTCCAAGCCTCAAACAAATCAGGCTGTGGGTAAACATTTAATCAAAAAATTCTACAAGCTGTGTTCATGTTTTAATATTTGGACCTTGGTAACTAGAAATAGAATAAAATACTAAGAACTCTTATCCTCAAACAAAATTATAATTTTTCATCATGTTCCTGCCCTTCTTCAATTCTCTTTCTTTCTTTTTTTTTTTTTTTTGTTGTTGTTGAGATGGAGTTTCACTCTTGTTGCTCAGGCTGGAGTGCAATGGCACGATCTCAGCTCACCGCAACCTCCGCCTCCCGAGTTCAAGTGATTCTCCAGCCTCCGCCTCCCAAGTAGCTGGGATTACAGGCATGTGCCACACACCTGGCTAATTTTTTTGTATTTTTAGTAGAGACAGGGTTTCACCACGTTAGCCAGGATGGTCTCGATCTCCTGACCTCGTGATCCACCTGCCTCGGCCTCCCAAAGTGCTGGGATTACAGGCGTGAGCCACCGTGCCCGGCCAATTCTCTTTCATACATGCATGTGTTGTTACTATTATTTTCCCAGATAGCTACTTTCTGGGTATCTTCATAATATCTCCTATTTTTTAAAGTTACCATTTCTTAAACTCATCAAATTCGTACATGTGGTCCCAACTTACAAATTTGTACCACTTCTTAATTTTCTTTCTGAAACTTTTTATAGTTTCTCCCAACTACATACAGTTTTTTTCTACAAATGTGATGAGGGTATCTCCATTTCCTTCTTCTTAGATGTTAGTGAAGAGAATAAACAGTGGCTCCTTTGCATCCCAAATAATGTTTTGCCCAGAGGATGTTTTATCCTTTGAGGGGCCCCTAGCTGGACACAGAGTAACACTGCTATTTCAGGGATTGGTGCTCCTAGTTGCCAGAGCATATATTTAATCTTTCCTTCTAATCTATATGCGGCTAACTCCTCTGTGAGGGTGCATCCCACAGTAGCTTGACTCGTGGCTTTGCTGTTGTTTGTCTGGGGTATATGCCTTTGCAAGACGCATGACATGTTCATTTCAGAGGGGCTTTGCTCCAGCTAATCCTCAGTGCTAGAGCTGTGCGTTGCTGAGTAGCTGTGAGGGGCAGTGATTATCAGAAATTACAGGAGACCCAACTTGTATTCATGTGCTGCTGTTCTCATGAGTTAATAGTTTTTTTTCTTTCCTTCTTTTTAAAGAATGAGCACAACAGAACAACAAGGTGATTTATGAGATATGACATATTTATGTTCTCTGCTTCTAATTTTCATTGTGATTCATGTTGTTTCCAGACTGATATTTTTGTTGTTGCTGCTGTGAGAAGGAAAAAGATGACTGTAGAATATTACTTACGCATTGGTGCCCTGCAGTAATATTGCTGCTAACCTGGGTTATCAGGGATTTAAAAATAAAACCCAACTATAAGCCATATATGAGGTAGAAACCCTGAGGCTAGCGTAGAAGTCCATCAATAATAATACCAACAATAATAATTCTTTACAAGCCTAGAGGGCTTTATATTTTAAAGCATTTCACACATATAATTTCTCTTGAGTCTCTCATCACCCTTGTTAAGGTTGATAAGGCAAGTATGATCCAAATTTTAACTAGTGAGAAAACTAAAGCTTCCAGAAGTTCAATAGTTGACTCACTTCACAGTATAGATTTCAATGGAGGTCTCACTGTATTCTCTTGAAATACACCAACTCTTTAAGAAAACAGAAACTCAAAGTACCTTATATATCTCATAAGTCAAACGTTTTTATATATTACTCTGTAATGAGTGAGCCAGAAGTAGACATTTCCTAATACATTACCAGTTTTCATTTTCACCTGTTGTGAGACTTTGTGGGAAGTTGCAAAAATGTCTCCAATAAAGTCGTACAGGAAAGTGTTGCTGAGGGTCTTTCTTGATCAGAGCCCAGAAACTGAGGCTCTGGATGGTTTGATAAGGAAGAATGCTTAGAGAATTCTGGCAGAGGGAGGGAACCATCTTTTATTCCTTCAAAGTACACGATGGTGTAGTATAAAGCAGGAAATGAAAGCCGATAAGGGAGGATCTCTTTAAAATCTGACCAAGAGACATAAATTAGAGTAAAAAAGAACCTGGAGTGCCATTATTTCTGTTGCAGTGACACAGACTGTGTGGGAAAAAGTCTGTAGGCTGTTGTCCCTATTTGAGACCAGAGATTGGATGGAACAAATGGAAATGATTGATCATTCCATCTTCATTTTATGCCCAATATATTGAAATTTTAGAAATGTATGCAGCATAAATTGACAGTTGGGTGATGGTTTAGATATGGGGTTCAAGAGAGAGGGTGAAAGATATAAATTTCTTGAAATTGATAAATGTTAGTCTCTTTCCAACACAAATGACCCTGTGAGTCCTTTTTCTTCAATGTTAGGCCAGTTGAATAGCAATGATGTTCATGCTAATTGGCTGTGTCAGACCATAGAGATTTGCTATTCTGGGAGTTCTATAGGAGAGGATGTAAATTTACTTATAAAGTGACCCAGAGGCTCTAGAATTATTTACATTCTAAGGAGATGTCAAGAGAAGCCTCAACATTTATTGTTGAATACTGACTTCCTTAGAAGTGCTTCTCCCACCCTTGCCTCCAAAACTTCTGCTACAAGGAAAAATAACACCCTGATTCAACACACCTGGAGGAGAAAAGTGGCCATTCTGAGATCATAATCAGGAGAAGCATTCATACATCATTCTTGAGCTTTTTTTATGCTCATAATACAGAGTTATGCATTCTCCATGGTGAGGATCCACCCTTTCCTCTGACCACCTCCTCCTTGTTACGTGCGGTGGCATGTTGATGAACTGCAAACCTATTTTGATATTCTGGTAGAGAAAGCATAACCAGGAAGACAAATTCAGGGAAAAAAAGTCAATGACTGATTCTAAAGTTATGTATCAAAGATTTTGTGCATTGTTCTCCTTTGTCTATAGGAAGAGTTACAAGTCAGTATTGGTAAGTGGCACGGTATTACTTATGCTTCAAGAACAGGAGCTAAAAAGACCCCCACACACCAGAGGCTGAGGACACATATCTTCTTTGTGTGTGTTCTTGTTGATGAGGAATGCCCACTACCTTCTCTGGCCACACAAGGAAATTGGGTAATTAAAGGAGTGATGGATGGTGCGTTAAAGTTTAAACGTTTTAGGAGGACCTATCTTATTAACACTTTAAAACAAGTGAGCATAATATCATTAACTTTGATTAATTCATTTGCTCTTAATATAGCTTTTAATTTGTAATTCTACGTGAATTACAATGTAATTTGGCATTAATTATACTAAATTGACTATAAGTCAGCCAATCACAATGGAAAATTACTCACAGCTGAAACTAAAACTAAACCTCTCCATCCAGAAAGGACGATGCTTAGTTAAGTGGCAAACACACTTTAGGCTCTTTGGCAGTGAGAATGACATTGGACCTGCTGAGGACTGTAATCAATTTCTCATTCTGCCCACTGCTGGGACTATGTACTCTTTGGAGTGAAGCCCCATATAAATCCAATAAAGTGTAAATAATGAAGTAAACAAAGGGGTTGATTTATCAGGTTTGCCAGGTCCCCTGAAGAATCTTTTTGCTCTTCTCATCTCATGTAAGTTTTAGGCAATGTAGAGGGGCTGTGTAGTGCTTTAGAATGATTAATTCCACACCCCTTGGATTCTGGGAGTTAGAATAGGCACCTACCCAAATTGGCCTGCTTCTCGTCTTCATGCTCTGTGAAACAGCTGGGAAATCCTGTTTTCGACCCCATGTGTAGTCAGTATCCTGAAGCCACTCCTATTTGACCTATACACAAAATGCCTTCTAGGCAGAAGGAAGTCATGCCTTAAAAAGCCAACACCACACTGAGAGAACTAAACCCTCAGGAGATGATGGAGCATGTGTCATTCATTGATAAAGCTTGTGGAAGGTGCCCGGGAGCACACAAGAAGTAAAGTGATCTGCTGAGGAATGCAGCCCTTGAGAAAGTGTGTGTGAGAGTGAGGATGGATTTGGAAAATACATGTGTTTGAACCATTTCCCAGATAGCTTTCTTTGACAACTGTCTTCTGAAAAACAAAACAAAAACTCTGAGATTTTGCAGAAAGTCATATGCAAGATTTGGCAATATTCTGCTTGAAGTCCATTTACATGTAGGTAGAACGACATGAATTTTGTACATTCTAGATACATTCCTGGTGAGCAATTGGCTCATAAAATGAGGCCCGGTTCAGAGGCAACAAATTTTGCTAAATATTGCACGGAAAATTCAAGACTGTTATTTTATAGGTCTTCTTTTTACCTTATTAGTTATATACCCCATCTCATCATTCTCACACCCAACGTAGCTAATAAAATGGCATAAGTTTTATATAAAAATTTTGAGTAAAGAGGTTAAAAGCCACCTTGGATTCTGAGCCAACAGCCGTCCTGTCCTCTGTCACTTACACATATGCAGGTGGGATTCACACAGTGCACACACTTGCAGGTAGACACGCATGCACACACACATATTAGATGCATATTAATCTTTGCAGCTAAAAGGCTTTCCTTTGTTTTGCAGCACTGACCTAAATCATAATACTCCCACCATTGGCTCGTTGGTCTCAGCATTAAAGAAAATAGAAAGTAGAAGCTTATTTTCACCACTCCAAGCGTATATATTCCATTCATCACTAAACTTTTTAAGGATGTTAATGCCAATAGTTTGTTAACAGAAGCAGCTGTATAGATGCAGCTTTATGGTGTTTCAGTTCTCTCCAAATCCTTTTTATGCTAGATTTAGCCTGGCCTATTGCAGAATTTTTAATTCCTTTTCCCCAGATATTCTTTTTGATATCCACATTGGATTGGTGGGTTCCAGTCCCTTTCCTACCAATTGTGGTTCCCACCATAGCATCAAGTTCTTAAGCAAAAACAACTCCTGTTTGAGGCATGCCCTCTGATGGATGAGCTCTTTTGAGCTCTTAATGTTCTTACTGCTTTTAGAGAACTGTAAGGATTTTGGGGCAAAGGAACTAATACTGAAGTAAGCAGAGCAGTGAGACGGGGGGAAAACATTTACAGGATATTCCTGCCCTTGGTTTTATCTTCTCATCATTTAACAGCAGCAGAATAAATGGGTCTGCTAATGAAACAGCACTGAGAGGTTAGGTCATTGGAAGCCTTTTTAGTCATTTTGTGCTTTTCAAGAGCGAATTTGTTAGAATTATGCTGAATACCCACTTAAAGCCTCAGCTGATAACCCTACCTGTGTTTTATAACTCTGCACTGTCAGAACTCATAATAAGTCAAACATTCTTTCAGTGGTGCTCATAAGGGAGGGAAAAAAACCACGCAAATTTAAGAGTAATTTCAGATTGTAAATGAAAAGGAGAGGCACGACTGTTCATTTGCACCAATCATGCCTTCCTTTCATCTGCTCTGATTAGGCCTGGTGCGGTTTCATCAGACTCCTCCATCACCGAGCTGTCACTCCAGCCGTCTGTTGATTGAAAACAATCAAGGCTCTGATGGCACAATTATTCTGACCCTTTAACTAGAGGCTGCTGTGATAATGAAAGGTTGATTATGATAGTTTGTGCCTCTTTCAGTTTGCCAAGAAGGTTAATTTGGGCATCAGACGGATGTTTAATGGGCGCTTGCTGGCTACACTGAGGTAAATGAGAACGTGCAGTCTTGGATATTGCACGGATATAGTTTGGCTGTCAATCATTGTCATTTGGAGTTTGTGCCTCACACTCTGGAAATCACATTTTATTTTTTCCTTGGGATTTAATTTATTCTGTGCCCTGAGGAAGTTCTTTCACTCGGTGACCTTCACAGCAGCTTTCTCTGCCTTTTTTTTTTCTTTTTTCAAATGGAGCTCAAAGGCACAACACATCTAGAAGAGCATTTTGCTTTCATTTTCACTTAAAAATGGAAACTTTAAAAATCCGTCCTTATCACTGCCTTCCAATAGAGCAAATGTTTCCATTCCGATTGTGCAGTGGGAAAGTATAAACGACAGGGATACTTTAGCCAGTTTGCTAATGCAGCAGCTCACACAGTTGTTCTGCCCTGTTTCGCACAGTAACCAGCAAATGCAGTAAATTCAAAATGGGCACATATATGAAAGTGAAGGCCCCATTCTATCACTAGCATGTCTCACAACAGTTTGTAGAATTCCTGCTTCCAAACACAGCATCTTACTCCTTTTACCCTCCTTCTTGGCAAACATAGGGGAGGGGTTGAGGAAGGAAGACAGAGATTTGTCTGTGGAAGCACTAAGGTTTTAAAAGTTGCAAATTTCAATTTGTATAAATCCAGCACCTAATCTTGCAGCTATTTGAAGTATAGGCTAAAAACGATACAGACATCTAATAATGCTGGTGTTTACAATGTGCAGCTCACATTGTGTTATAATGAGCTTTGTACCGCTTTCATGCATACCCTTTAAAAAAGAAAAATAGAGGAAAAGAAAAAATAAAGGAAAACCTTTATTTCTGTCTCCAAGCTATGCATAGTGGTCTCATCATATATTAGGCACCTGAGAGCTAGAATCGTTTTGCCTTTTTTTATTTGTTGTCTTCATTATTTTTTTTTCCTCCAATGAACATTCAGCAGCATATTTTTACCTAGCCTGGGACATTTTTTCTCACATGTCAATTGGAAAACAATTAAGTCTATAGATGTTAAAGTGACAGCATCATAATTATTGTAATTTTACTTCAAGTGTTCTATTTTCACATTATTTTTTTCTTGCTTTCAAAAAACCCTATTTGTTTTTTAATAGTAAAGAGAGTCATTAGGTGATCATTCAGTCTCACCTGAGAAGTCTCCAAAAATGAATTAAGTCATTGAATCCAGTTGCTGTTTTAATGCAGCCCTTATTTAATGAACAGTTCTGTTTAAAATGTTTATTTAAAAAATAAATGAGAATGGGATTGTGTATATATGGTCTCACAAGATTCCTCACTGCAGTACACCACAAATGATTATTTTTTTAGCTCTATAAAATAGTAAAATAGACCTCAGGGATACTTCATAAAATTATTGCTTTGTTATGTCTTGTTTTTGGTTAAGCAATGGGAACTAAAAAGATAATTTGGAGAGAAGTGCATCAGTCAAGTCAATCAATAGTTTTTGCTATTAGAAAAGTAATGCAAAGTTTAATTTTCATATTAACTTGTGGGATCTGTGACAATGAATTATTTTATCTTATAGGTTCGCTATGTTTTTAAAGTAATGGGACTCAAGCAAAGGCCGTTTCATCTTAAAGAAAGCATAACTCATTTTGTCAAATTGTTTCTGGTCTAAGCCTGACTGAGTTCTGAGTTTCCCCACGTCTGTACTTTTTATATCAAAGTCATCTCCAACACAGAGGGCCTTCTTCCCTCATACACCTGCATGACATGACTGCCACTGTCCTGCTCTCAAGCAGACTCTGTCCACCCAGACTGCACCCCTCAACGGTGATATTCCCGCTTGGGTCCTCTTGCCTTTCATTGCCTGCCTGTGCTGGCCATGCTTCTGCTACCAGGCTGGGCCTGCTCATGGGGCCCAGTTTCTTTTTCCTCTTCAGTGTGGCCTTCTCTATCTTCAGGGTTCACCTTGCTCTTCCTCCTAATCTGATAAAGAATGTTTCAGACCTGTGATTTCCCCAGATTGGACTCCTGTGTTCTTTCATTCGACATTGATGGTTCTCAGTGAGGCTGCAATACAGTCTTTCTCTCAACTATCCTACAGATTCTCTTTTGCAACAGCTACTACCTTCTACTCATTCCTTCCTCCTCCACAGTCCTCTCTTCTCTCATGAGTCTTCTGAGACTATCAGGCGGCTGGTTCTCCACCACAGGGCTATCTCTCTACATCTCTGACTTCTTTGCATGACTGCTGCACGCTGGGCTCTCTGGGCCACTTCTCCCACCCGAACTAAGCCCTGCCCCCCTGTCTCTGCTGCTTTGATTCCTTACATGCTTGATTTCTGTTTTGAGACTTATCTGACATTTATTGTTTGTAATGATCCTTGTGGAACCCAAATCCTTTGATATGACTACCTGGGCATTGGCCCAAATCTTCTCTGAAATTTCTATTTGGGTTAAAAAAAAAAAAAATCTGTGATCATTGTGGTGAAGAGGGTATCTTCTTCGATAAAAATATTATTTGTATGATCAGCTTGGCCAACATGGTGAGATCCCATCTCTACTAAAAATACAAAAATTAGCCAGGCGCGGTGGTGCACACCTGTAATCCCAGCTACTCAGGCTGAGGTAGGAGAATTGCTTGAACCCAGGAGGTGGAGGTAGCAGTACGCCAAGATTGTGCCACTGTACTCCAGCCTAGGTGACAGAGTGAGACTCTATCTCAAAAAATACATATATAAATATATATATATAAATTGTGTGTACTGTACTCACAGGTGTTACAAAGTAGAAATAGAGGATTCATAGTTCCCTAGTTTTTTATACTATGATGAAATGAAGTTAGAGAAGGCAGTGCAAAATATGCTTTTTCAACATCAGTAGCCAGACTGAAATTCACCTAGTACAGGTAGTCAGTGGTGCCATCAAATTTATGTATATCCTTTGCAGCTCACTGACAGTGTAGACCCTGGCTCCCCTTCCCCAGCCCTACCAGCTGGCTGGCAGTGCTCCTTGTCCTATCCCCTTGACAGTAGAGTCTGGCCCTGACAGTGTTTAGTCCTGTGCTTCAGTTTATGGGTTCCCCCATGCCAGTCTCTGTGCCCCATGGCTCTAAAAGATGTTTAAAGTTACCTTTGACTATTCTTTTATTTTTATTTGGAGGCTGCCAACATTAAATCCTTAAATGCAACTTGGGTACTTTCTGGACATCTAAACTCATCATAGTACCACTTGTTTGAGGGATCTGACTGTCCCTATGTCAGTGACCTGGGGCAGCTGCTTGAGCCCTTGAGGTCCATTTGGTTATAATATTGAAGATTTGATTTCAGATGGTGAGCACATTTGCCAGTGAACGTGCTCTTGTGCTCTTGGCTCATTATTCTTTTTTTTTTTTTTTTTTTTTTGAGACACGGTCTTGCTCTGTTGCCCAGGCTGGATGCAGTGACACAATCATGGCTTAATGAAGCTTCAAACTCCCAGGCCTAGGTGATCCCTCCACCTCAGACTCCCAAGTAGCTGGACCACAGGCATGTGCCACTGCAGCCAAGCTTTTTTTTTTTTTTTTTTTTTGGTAGAGACAGGGCCTCCCTATGTTGCCCAGGTTAGTCTTGAACTTCTGGGCTCAGGCAATCCTCCCACCTCGGCCTCCCAAAGTGCTGGGATTATAGGCATGAGCCACTGCATTCAGCCAAGCTCATTATTCTTGAATCAATTCATGAACAAATATTCAAAGGCCTAATGCTCTCAGGATGCATGTTTACAAATTAAACAGTTTTTTTAAACCATAAAATGTATAAATGTGCCAGCAACATTTAAAACACCAATGAAATGACAACATAGAAAGATGATTCGTGTGCGTTTCTGAAAAATCTGTCTACAAAAGGCTTAAACTTCCAGATTTGCAGGATTACCTCCAACAATTCCAAATTTCATTAGAATATTTTACAGGAACATATCAAGACACTCAAAATCAAGAATAAGCCTCGAGTTTTATGATATTAATGGAAGTGAATGGCAAATGAGAACGTTGATATACACTGATTAGAATCTTTCTCACCAAGTTTCTGACATATAATGGACACTTAAGAAAACGAGAAGTGTTTGTAATGGGAGATCCAAGCCAAGTGATGAAAGTGACTTATATGCTGAGTATTGTACAAAAACAACTGGGTTTCAGTCTGTCTCTCCCTTTTCATTCATTCATTCATTCATGCATTCGTTCATGCTTCTCCAACGTTGAATTTAACAAAGCCACAGAACTTAAATTACTGGATTAGAATTACTGAGTTTATTTGTGTGAAATATGGTTAATCATAAGAGCTAGTTTATAATCTGTTGTGCTGCCATGGTTTTATTATCACTTTAAATATGTGAAGTATTTAATACTGTATAGCAAATTTCTTATCAACTATAGCAATCTCTCAAAATTTACATCACTAACACACAATGTTGTATTACATAAAAATGGTCTGCATGTGATGGCTTTATCATGAATTTAAAAGGATAATTATATTGGGGAATACCTTCATCTCTTGGAGGCATATTGCCATCATATAAATTCTGTACATTGTCTAAATATCAGTTTACCAGGCACCTTCACATGTCTGATCGCATTCAGTCTTCCGTAGAACCCTATGACATAGGTATTATCATACTTGTTTTGCTGAGTATCAGTATGTTGATAAAACTGAGTATCAGCATGTTGGTTTTTCATAAATGCACAAATATATTAGGTTGCAGAAATGGGTCTTTTGACATCAAGTCCTGTATTCTTTTCCTTGTGTCAGATTTACCTCTATAGGCATATACCAATTTGTGATAGAAAAAAGCATCAGGATTTCCCTGGCCATTTCAGCTGACTTCACCCTGGTAATGCATCCTTATTGCATGCAGTAGCTAGGAAACAATGGGGGGTGTTGTGACCCACATGAGGTCACTCTAGTCCCTATTGCCAATGTGATACAGAAGGGTTTTCTTTTATTGACCAAATTGGTTTTCTCTCATTTTCCAGTGTAGTTATACAATATAAGCTAAATACCTCAGTGACCACATGCAAAGTTCCTTCAACATCTAGTAGGACATGTTATGTAAATATGCAGGAGCTATCATTTTATTTAGAAGTCTCATGTCATCAATCCAGTATTGAGTAATGCTCTGATGCAATCCCAGCCATCAATGACTAGATGGATGAATATTGTCTTTTGGCTCAGAGACTATGATCAAACCACTGAAGGGAAATTATAGGGTGTTATTCTATAACTGTACATGTGTTTTGCTCAAATATGAGGAGACCAAGAATGGGTTTCATTTTTCCTATGGCATCATTGGCAAGGGTGGTGCTGTTTTTTATTGTCCTGTAGGACATTTTCGCCATTTAAAAGTTTTGTATATACTAGATATGGGATGGGAATGGTATATATACATATAACTTTTATTTTAGGTTTGGGAGTACACGTGAAGGTTTCTTATATAGGTAAACTGATGTCATGGGGGTTTGTACAGATTATTTCATCACCCAGATATTAAGCCTAGTACTCAATAGTTATTTTTTCTGCTCCTCTCCCTCCTCCCCCACCCTCCACCATCATGAAGGTATATTTACCTCTACGAGGTAAATAAATATAAATATACCATTATATATAAATAAACATAGAAATATAAATATGCCCATTATATATAAATAAACGTATATAAATGTAAATATACCACTGTATTCCCTCATGGAGGGAATGGTACATTTAAAGACAGTCCAGAGGTAAAATATATGTGAACAATTTACTAAAACTTGAATTTATCTTTTTTTTTTTTTTTTTTGAGACGGCGTCTCGCTCTGTCACCCAGGCTGGAGTGCAGTGGTGCGATCTCAGCTCACTGCAAGCTCCGCTTCCCAGGTTCATGCGATTCTCCTGCCTCAGCCTCCTGAGCAGCTGGGACTATAGGCACCTGCCATCACACCTGGGTAATTTTTTGTATTTTTGGTAGAGATGGGGTTTCACCATGTTAGCCAGGATGGTCTCGATCTCCTGACCTTGTGATCTGCCCGCCTTGGCCTCCCAAAGTGCTGGGATTACAGGCGCCCAGCCATGTATAAAATCTTATTCTGGGATTCTAACCAATATTACCTTGAAGCAGTCACCTTAATAAATTTGAAATTTGTATTCTTTGGCACAAATTTTATTTTTACAAGAGATGGTATTATTATTCAGTTTCATGATATAATCTGATCAAAGTTGTTCCTAGGGAGAGTGACTATGATGTAACCTAGTTCTCTGCATTGGCCCCACGTGCATGTGCACTTTCATACATGCAAACATTCACGCAGACATTTCTGCTGAGCACAGAATTATAGACAAAAAAATGTCACCTTGTTTTTCTGAAAAGAGATTTATCAAAACTCTCTGTGCTACAGAAACCTGTGACTTGGGTACTAGATTAATTTTGGTTGCCTCTACCACCTCTAGGAAAATTAGAGAATTCTACTTTAAAATATTTTTGGTGGATCCATAGGTGACGTATATCCTAGAGAAGGAGGAGACTCTCTCATCAACTAATTTATTTTAAAAATGAGAGCCAAATAACTGATCCAATGTCAGCCATATACTCACATTGCCCTTTTAATACTGGCTTTCCAAAGATCAGCTTACACTGGTGGCTGAATCTCACAAGTAGAGAAGATATCACAGGTTATTAACCTCACCTCTTATCCTATCTTGATTTTCTCTTCATCTTGATATAAAATTTACCTTTTAAATAAATCCTCTTTTGTTATTGTTATAAGATTGAGCAAAGGGACAACTCAGGTCACTTTTCATGCACCCCCACTAAATATCTGGAACTTACATGTGGCAGGTCTGAGGGTAGTTTTTGTTGTGGTTCTTCCAGTCCTGTGTGTTTATCCCCATTTGTGGGAAATAGACACCTTTAGTTGCAAGGGCTTTTCGCTTTTGGAACTCTGAAGTATGTACTTTAAAACATGTGTTTAAAGATGATTACCAGAGAACAAATCTTATGCTAAAGGTGAACATAATAACATTTACCAATCTTTCAATTTCCCAAAGTTTTAAAGGAACAATGAAATAATGTATTATTATCATCTGTGATAAGCTGAATATTGTTTTAAAAATCTGTCAGGTTTTTTTTCTTACAGTATATGAGCCTCGGGCCTCATCAGATTTGGTTCCATTGAAATATATTTCTTAGAAGAAAAAATAGCCTATGTGTCTTACATAAGTCTGTAGTCAGCTATAATGGTTAATGTGCAATCTCCCTTGAAAGATCTGTCTTACAAGGAAAATGTTGACGCAGTTTTAATTATAGCACTCAGGTGAGCACTGTTATAATTTTTAATATTCCTCCATGGTAACATTTTCATTGTTCTGGTAAAGGAAAATGCTCTGATGCTGCGTCCCTAGTTTCTGGTGCTTTTCGATTTTATGGGAAAGTTGTCTTTTTGAACTGAAACTTTTCATTTGGTCTCAAGGAAGAGAATGTAACTATAAGATCTGTCACATTTATTTATTAGTATACACTTTTCTCTCTATGGCAGTTGCTATTCTGGTTTATGACACCATTATTTCACCTTACATGATTCACGTTAAAGAGGTGAGCTTCTGTGTAGTATTGCATGGCAAATCGCAACACCTGCTCACTTGCATTAGGGAAACATCACATTTTTAAAGAAACTGTATGTAATATTAAAAGGATAACATGCTAAAGTTTTATGTTTATTAGAATTCAAGGCATTATAAAATAATATCTAAAACAATGTACTTTAATATAGAATGATCACTGAACTCTTCCCTTTGAGAACACAAATTAGAAGATAAAGAGCATGCTCGATACTCTGTTTAGAAAGGAAAAGATTCGTCTATGCATCATCATCCATTCTATTAAAACACGCTTTCCTGGCTTCCTACTTCTTGTTGCCCAAGAGCTCATCAACATGCCCTGCTGTTTGATGGAGGTTCAGGAGTGAGTTTTTGACTTGCTCCTGTGCCCTTCCTTTGTCTTTTTCTGAATTTGCAGAAGTGTGGAATTTGTGCTGCCTTTTGTGCACTGAGGGGAGACTGGTGCCCTGGCTTACCTCAATGGGATGACAAGACTGGTAAGGATATGGACACTTGTGCCTCACAGCGTGGGATTCTGCAAAGAGAAGGGCTCCGTGTGCACCTTCAGCAGAGCTATCTGCAACCAGATTTTACATAGGAACATAATAATAGCTGCCCCTGGCCAAGGAGCAGAATAAAGGCTATGAGCAAAAAGACCAGTCATTGCTTACTCAGCTCTTCATGATGAGCTCTGTGATAAGAACATCCTTTCAGTGAAAGACAATATTTGTAGACCAAGACAAAAAAAAAATACTTGTTACTTTTAGACAATGACATAGGGCTTTATTCTTTGTTAGCATTGCTTTAAAAGATTTGATCACTCATCTGATGAGAGCCTGCTTTTTAAGGGCACTTGTATTTATATATATTTGCAAGATATAAAGACAGTTCTATGGAAGAGTGCAATAATGTTTATTCTTGAATTTGGGATGTCTTCATAATTAATGTATTTTCTGGAAATCGGAGAATAACATTTTCATTGTTTTGGCATTCCTTTGGGGTCATAGTGTATAATATATATGGATATATACAAGCAGTTGGAATTCAAAACATCCACTTCTTTAAAAGAATCAGGAATTTTAGATATCAAAACAGCAGCTTCTGTCTGAGTGTGTTTCACATGAACAATAAAGGAATTAGAATCACAATATGAGGACTTGATAATGTTAGGAATATAACTTTTTTCATATAATTGATATATTTCTGAAATACATATGATTAAATTGCATATTTTAATTGAACTAGGACAAAATTTGTAGCATTTAGAATTATACTATTATGTTTAGGATTATATATCATATATTCTACTCTGTAGAGTAGCAATCAGTAGGGATATGCTGAGAAAACTAAAGGGAAGGGATTATCTGTTCTGTATATTTTTGGGTCAAATTTAGTTAACAAGAAATAATCTAGAACTAAAATACATTTAAAAAATAGACCGGGTGCAGTGGCTAACACTTGTAATCCCAGCACTTTAGGAGGCCAAGGCAGATGGATCATTTGAGGTCGGTAGTTTGAGACCAGCCTGACCAACATGGTGAAACCCCGTTTCTACTAAAAATACAAAAAATAGCTGGGTGGTAATGGCGCACGCTTGTAATCCCAGCTACTTGGGAGGCTGAGACAGGAGAATCGCTTGAGCCTGGGAGGCAGAAGTCGTAGTGAGCTGAGATTGCGCCACTGCACTCCACTCCGGGTGACAGAGGAGACCCTGTCTCAAAAAAAAAAAAAATTAAATGTGAAATATGTATTCTCATAAAAAGGGAAGCAATAATTCAACACTCAAGACATGTCCTTTTCCCTCAGTATTTGTTCTTTAATTACAAACTCTTTACTTGGTATCATAAACCTATGGTCTTTATTTCTGAAGTAATCCATAAATGAGGCTCACTGAAAAATACTACCAACCTATTTTGAAGCAAAACATTCTTATTTTTAAAGCAGAATTTATTTTTCTAATTTATTGAATATAGAAGTTATTTTTTGGGCTGAGCGCGGTGGCTCACACCTGTAATCCCAGCACTTTGGGAGGCGAAGGCGGGCGGATCACGAGGTCAGGAGATCGAGACCATCTTGGCTAACACGGTGAAACCCTGTCTCTTACTAAAAATACAAAAAATTAGCTGGGCGTGGTGGCAGGTGCCTGTAGTCCCAGCTACTCGGGAGGCTGAGGCAGGAGAATGGCGTGAATCCAGGAGGCGGAGCTTGCAGTGAGCCGAGATCGCGCCACTGCAGTCCGGCCTGGGCGAAAGGCAAGACTCCATCTCAAAAAAAAAAAAGAAGTTATGTTTGGACTTAGTGCATTTGCCTGGATTTTCCCTTGAAATAATTATTGATGGAAAAATAATGGCAAGTAGATATAATTAAAAAATACATGGTATAAGTTAAAAACAGTTTCTAGTTCTAGCTTTTCTGCTAATTCATTGTATGACTTGGGTTAAGTCGGTTAACTTGTCTGGTTTTGATTTCCATTTGTAAAATTTAAAAGCTTGAGCCAAGTGGACTCAGCTTTCTTCTTGCTCAAATATTTTATAATTTATTTGAAGGTTTAAAACACTGCAATGCTTATTGCTTTGCCAAGAATCTCAAATAGAAGTGGCCAACACCAAACATGTGAGGGAAGAAAACAAGGGCTTATGAATCTAAGTTTAGGGCACTGTATGCTGCAGTGTGGAGCCTTGAGGGCTTATAAAGGCCTTATAAGAAAGCCATAAAGATGAGATAATAAAATAGAAAACTGAAGCCTGTGATAGATAAATAAATATGTGTGTATGTATGTGTGAATAAAGGATTTGATACTATTTGTTTGAGAGAATCTGAGAAATAGCCTAAAAACCGAATTTTCCATTTATGCCACAAATATGTATAGCAAACTGTGGGTCAGGTGCTGTTCTTAGCAAATATCTGAGGATCAATTGGTTTGAAGTTGGATTAAGCTGTAGCTAATGTTCCTTTTAGGAAGGAACAATTCTCCATTGTGGTCAGATGAATTGGGTCAGGCAGGGTGCTTGAGAGACCTCCTGTTGTACATGGAAATGACGGTCTGCTGTGTTGCAGGTGGTTTAGGAAATGTCTTACCTAATGGCCATGTTTCCTAAGCACTCTTTCGTAATGTCCTCCTAAACTGAATCTGTTGTTTCTTTTCCACTCTTGCTGGCTTGGCCACCAAAAATGCTGCATGCTCCATTTTCTTCCCCATTAAATCCTAGAGTTTATGGTGATAGGGATTTCAGTATGCCAGAATAAATAAGATAGAATAGGATTCAGCTTACCCTGAGTTGTGCTTTCTCAGTGTAATGCCATTATTTTAAAAGCCACCAGTTCCAAGAATAATTTTTTTCAAGCTTAAGCACCGAAATATACCACAAAGCTAACTGTTGTCTTTGGGTTTTATGATGCCCCAATGATAAATCAGCTTTCCTCTTACTGTAGTAGTCTTTAAGCTCCTTAAATGGGCTCCAGGATTCCCTCCACCAGCATGGCAGTGAATAATGTTAGATGAGGTTCACAGCACAGAGGTGATTTTGAAGTGGCCCATTGTTTTGAATTTTCTTTGCCATTTTTTAATTATTTATTTGAATAAACAAGAGTTATCTGTGATTTCAGTGGGGTTTCTCCTTTAGATTCTTATGAACGTAAAAACAGAGCACAGTAACACTTTTACATTTATGTGTTTATTATTGCAAAGGCAAAAATGCAGAGTGTTTCTATGGCTTACTTTATGTTATCAGAATCAGCCATCGATTTATAGACTGTATAGAACCAAGGTCTCAAAAAATGCTACCTCATCCGTAATATTAAGCTAATTAAGTATCTTATATCATAACTTAAGCATTACTTCAACTTCACTGGATTTATACCTGCTTAAATTTAAAAAACAGAGTGAATTTCCTCTGATAAGGCAGCAATTTACCATAGTGGATGGAACAGTTAATAAATACAGCTTCGTAGAGTAACTAAATTCATGACAGCCTGATAGGAGAATACTGTTATGAATGGAAATCTGTCCAAAGCCTTCCTATTCAAAGTGTGGTACATGGACCAGTGGCATATGCAACAAGGACTTTGTTGGAAGTGCAGACTCCTCATCCTCCAGTCCCCCACCTGCTGAATGAGAGCCTACATTTTGACCAGAAACCCCCGTGTAATTTGTGTACATGTTAAGTTTGTAGTTGGTGACAAGATGGTTAGTTGTAAATTAGATTCACCTTTGATCTGGAAAAAAATATAAACCCAACAAGTAGGGATGACTTGTATAGTCTGAAAATATTAATAAATGATAAAAGTTGAAAGTTATATGAAATCTATGAGAAGTTAGAAATGTTGGAAAGAAATAAGATAAAAATATCTCAGAAAATGCAAACTAATAGTTATGCACAAAATATTCTGTAATACATAGTATTTGGAGAAATTGAACACAGAAAGCATCATGACACATGTGATGTGGGATGATAGTAGACCACAAACCAGAAATTAATCAGTAATAGATCACAGTGGTCACCGTTCCATGGCTAATTTTATTCTTTAGAGTTTTTCTTAAAAGCATAGCTTAGTTGAGGCTTGTGTGCTTCTCACGCAGTTAGTAACACTGCTTGCTGGAAAGATAAAGATAAACCGGAGGGTGTTCAGAGATGGGCCAGAAGATTGATTATGGCATAGGAAGAGCTGATTTATGAGGAGAGAGAAAAATAATTAAATGGGCAGCACTATGCTATAAAAAGAGCCTATGGAGACATGGATATTTATCTAATGTCTCTAGTGCTGTTTCCGGTAGTATCTATGTGGATGCAGAACTGTAAGGATATAAGAATGCCAAGAAATTGGTTGCAGAGCAAAGCAATATCAGCTAGAATTACTTGACTAAATTAGGAACAATAGCAAATATTACGTTTCAGAAATTTTTCCCTGGTGCATAAGAAATGACCTTGAGCTGGATGACTTTATCCCTGAGAACTTTTAAAAACACTGTGGGCAAAGAGTGGAAAATTATTTATCAAGTTGCTGAACAATCTCCCCAGAAATAATTGGAACCCCGTGTCTTGAAAATTCCAAGATTAGGGTAGAGAAAATCTAGGGTGCAGCATGTGGGAACTGTCTCCACTTCTGGCAGAGACCTGGTGATTGATGAGTACCATTTTTCCATATCACTCATTTCTTTTGCAATATCTTTGATTATTGCAGATATTACCATACATAGATAATTTTTTGTCAGGTTGGTATCTTATTTAGTTAAAAATGCTACCTTCTATAAAAGCATCTAGAGTGTATCGCTTGTTTGACCTCTACCGTGTCTGCCTCCTTGGCACCTAGCGACATTTCCTTTTTCATTTCTCTCACTCTGTCACTCATTAAGAGATGCAATTCATGACGTAGCAGAAGTGAATTCACTTCCACGTTCACTTCATTCAGAAAACTAAAAAGACAAGCCCAAAATGCATCTTGCCTTTCTGGAGCCCTTTTTCAACTGGATGCAGAAACTCTGAATGTCTGAAATCATCTAGTGCCTTAGAGAGTTTAGTGATTCTTTTCACCGGGTTGAAAACCCAGTTTGTGTTTGCCAAGGAGCAGTGGTCTGAGAATACCACATTTCCTCTTCCCTCCCTCAGTACATTTCCCCTGATCCCCCAGTAAAATCTGTTATCTGAACAGGGAAGCCCAGAATCCTGATTCCATGGTTCAAAAAGGAAGTAAAGCACGATAAAATTGAAGCAGGATATTTTCCTTGACAGCTTTGCAGGCGGGAACCGGAGCACGGGCAATGGAGCTAGCTGGCTATTTCGGTGCCGGCAGGGGCAAACTCAAAACAGAAGCCTGCTGCTGTTGGTGTGGGGATGGTTGTGGCAATTCACATTGTTCTGAATTGCTTATCTGATTGCTGGGCCAAATGCTTATTCTACTTAGTAACATTTCTGAAGTTTGTAGCAAAACCTTAACATTATAAAAGAACAGATAAGGAGCCATTTCAAACCACAAAGGAAGAAAGGAAAGATACCACAGAAAAGTCTTGGGGGGGGGGGGTCTTAGCCAACCACCTGTTACATCTGGGACTGGGTCCAGTCCAGGGGCCTTCCAGCAACACTGAGGAGTGGCCTTGGCCAGATGCCTTCAGTTGCCCCAGGACTTTATTCTGGTCCCACATGGTGGCTAAGCCTCCATGAAGGGAAACAGAGCCAACATTCCTTTCACCTGCAGGAAAGAGAGAGATGGCAGTGTTGCATCCTGTCCCCTGCAAGAGGCATAGCTCAGAAGAAAGTCTGAGGACAAGAAGAGACAGATCTGCATTTTACTCACCCTTCTGATGTATCCTAGGCAGGCTCCCAGAGGAAGATCCTGGGCGGGCCTCCAGATTCCCTGACCCCTTCACGGGCGGGAACTGGAATGCGGGTGCTGGGGCTAGCCAGCCGCTTCAGTGCCAGCAGAGGTAAACTTCACTCACTCGAACCCGCTGCACCCAACCCCTCATGGGACGGAACATGCAGGTGAGTGAGTGCAGGACCTGGCAAGTGCTTTTGGGCACTGGCAGGAGCAAAACTCTGTGCAGGCCCCACCACAGCATCTAGTGGGGAGTGCCTGTAGCCCCCAAAGCTCCAGAAGGAGTGTTATGGTACACCTTCTTTTATCTTTGCCATCTGTGGATGGCTTAAATATTAACAGCTCAGTGGAGGGTCACCCTCTTGGCACCTGAGTTCTTGTCTGGCGTTCAGGAGGAATGAAGTCACACAAACAAGATGAAGACGGTAAATGTGGGGGATTTTATTGCCAATGAAAGTGACTCTTAGTAGAAAGGGGAGCTGGAAAGGGGATGGGGTGGGAAGGTAATCTTCCCCTGAAGTCTGGCCATCCCCTGTTGGACTCCTCTCTGAAGCTATGCTGTCAAGCTGTCCCTCTGAAGTCAAGCCACTTCTCTCCAACTATAGTCTCTGACATTTAGCTGCTGCTTCTCCTCTTGATGTTCAGTCACTTCTCCTCTCTGCTGGCTGTGTCAGGGGTTTTTATGGGTACAGGATGGGGGGGTGGGGTGGATCATGGGTGGTTTTGGAAAAGTCAACATTCCAGCATGAAACAGGAATGTATGTTCTCACTTTGGGCTGCGGTGCCAGGCTTGAGGGTGGGGCCCTCAGTGGGGACCCATCTTCTTCTGCCCAGAATTTCCTGCCTCCTGTCCCTATCAAAATTATTTAATATTCTATTTCTTTGCTTCATTCTTTCCTGCTAATTCCTTCAGACTCACATTCACATTGTCTGGGAGATCTACTTTAATGTAAGTGCTGCTAAGAATAATTCATATCAAATATGTTGACTGAGATGTTAGATATACTTCATTATGCTGGTGTGTGGGAAGGTTTGCCAAACTTAACTATTAAGTCACACTAATTAAATTACTTTAGGTGCTCCATAAATGAATTGTGGTTTTTTCATTGATGATTTTTTTTTTTTCCTGAGATGGAGTCTTGCTCTGTTGCCCAGGCTGGAGTGCAATGGTGGGATCTCAGCTCACTGTAAGCTCCACCTCCCGGGTTCAAGCAATTCTCCTGCCTCAGCCTCCCGAGTAGCTGGGACTACAGGCACGTGCCACCACGCCCAGCTAATTTTTGTAGTCTTAGTAAAGACAGGGTTTCACCATGTTGGCCAGGCTGGACTCAAACCCTTGACCTCTTGATCTGCCTGCCTAGGCCTCCCAAAGTGCTGGGATTACAGGCGTGAGCCACCATGCCTGGCCCTGATGAATTTTTTTAATTTTAAAAAAAAAAAGGAGAATTTCTTAAAACTAAAGCAGGTACATTATCATAAATAACAAAATGAAACAATATTCTTTATTATTTAATAATAAATATATAATTTTATTTATAAAATTATTATAACAAAATTAAACAATAATTTTTATTATGTATGACAATGTACCTGCTTTAGTTTTAAGAAATTCTCTTTGCTCATATCAAAATGTTATAACTCCTTTCCTTCTTAGAAGAGATCTGAAAGGAATAAAAAGGTTAGGATTACATTCTGCTATTATGTTCATAATACAAAGATGATCTCCTCTATATTCTGTTTTTGTGCAAACGACTCTAACAAATTTCCAGTATCTTACATGTGCAAATTACAACTGTCTTCAAGGTAAAAGTTAATTGAGAGAAAAAATTAATAGGTTAGAATCTTATTTTTTCTTTTCTTGCTTCCTGACTGTTATACCTACTAAAGGGATGTGGGGTGGGAGGGGGAGTCTTTTTTCTTTCTAAATCATTCTGCTAGTGTTATGTTGACTTTCTCTCAAGTACACCCTGTGGTCTCAGATGATCACATATTTTCTTACGTTACTCATATTGATACAGCACCTTGGCTTATGGGTTGACATATATTACCTGAGCTTTGATGACACCTCCCACCATTGACATTTCCTGGTGGTGGGGTGTACTGAGCCTCTTATGCATGAAACATAAGGGAACAGGCTGTTTCACAACAGCATTTTCATTCTTTGAAAATCAATTACTGTTCACCCCAAATGGTATCTGAAGCCCCCATCAGTGTTGCTTCACATTGTTTCTTACCCCTACAGCAATGTCTTGAGTGCTTTTGTGTCTTTGCTGAGACGGAAAAAAAGTTCCTCACATGGGCTTCAAAATATTCCAGTTATACTGTTTGTAAGAAAGTTTGTATTATTACCTGCCTGGAAGAATACAGGTAACCTACCTATATGCTGTTGCTTTCTCTTTCTTTCTTACCTTTGTGTCTCCTCTCATCTCACTTCCCTCTGTTTCAGCTAGCTGTGAGGTGGTTGGAACACAACTGCCACTACCAGTACATGGACGAGCTCCTGCAATACATCCGCTTTGGCCTAATGGATGTGGATACTCTCCATACAGTTGCCCTGTCCCACCCCCTTGTCCAAGCAAGTGAGACTGCAACAGCCCTTGTCAACGAGGCCCTGGAATACCACCAGAGCATCTATGCACAGCCTGTCTGGCAGACTCGCAGGACCAAACCACGATTCCAGTCAGACACTCTGTATATCATTGGTGGGAAAAAGCGCGAGGTCTGCAAGGTCAAGGAACTTCGGTACTTCAATCCTGTTGATCAGGAGAATGCTCTCATAGCTGCCATTGCCAACTGGAGTGAGCTGGCTCCCATGCCTGTGGGAAGGAGCCACCATTGTGTGGCAGTCATGGGGGACTTCCTGTTTGTGGCAGGAGGGGAAGTTGAGCATGCCAGTGGCCGGACGTGTGCTGTGAGGACTGCCTGTCGCTATGACCCCCGCAGTAATTCCTGGGCAGAGATAGCACCCATGAAAAACTGCCGGGAGCATTTTGTGCTGGGTGCCATGGAGGAATACCTCTATGCAGTTGGGGGCAGAAATGAACTGCGCCAGGTTCTGCCTACAGTTGAGCGATATTGCCCCAAGAAGAACAAATGGACTTTTGTTCAGTCCTTTGACAGATCCCTTTCATGCCATGCTGGATATGTGGCTGATGGTCTTCTTTGGATATCAGGTAGAACATACCTCATGTTGGATTTATCAAAACACACTTTCATTGTGGTATATATTTAAAAGTCAAGCTTTAATACTGTGGCCATGTGTAATTGAAAGATTGAACCAAGCATGCCATTTTAGCTAATTAACATTCATTTATTGAGCACCTACTCTAGAGAGCAATGTAATTGGAAATAATATGCCTTTCTGTGACTTTCTGAGTGACTAATGGAATAAAAATTCAAGGTGGAAATTGTTGGTCCATCACAACTGTTTTTTTCCTACCAGAACTTCTCCTGTCAGCTCTTGATTATTCATGGATTGTATTGCACAGCTTGTGGTTTATCTAGGTCCTTTGCTTTTTCTTTCACCCCTGGCTACCTGACTAGAGCCATTTCATCAAAGACAAGGCAAGAGAAGTATAAGCCCAGTTAATCCATTTTTCTGGGTATATCAATAGGTATATATCCAAGTAATCACTATGCTGTGCATTGAGAGAAGGGATTTAAGTTACCAAAACAAAGTTGTTGTTGTTGCTGTTTCAGATAGGGTCTCACTCTTGTTACCCAGGCTGGAGTGCAGTGGTGCCATCTCGACTCACTGCAACCTCCACCTCTCAGGCTCAAGTGATCCTCCCACCTCAGCTTCCCAAATAGCTGGGACTACAGGAGCACACCACCACACCCAGCTAATTTTTGTAATTTTTGTCAAGGCAGGGTTTCACTACATTGCCCAGGCTGCCCTTGAACTCCTGAGCTCAAGCAATCCACCAGTCTTGGCCTCCCAAAGTGTTGGGATTGCAGGCGTGAGCCACTGTGCCCAGCCTAAAACAAAGTTTGTTTGTTTTTAATTATCCGTGAATGGTAGTTACTTGTGCCATTCTAACCCTTCATTCCTATTTACTCTCCTATTTTTACTGATGGTACAGTTTGAGCTCTAGTTTACCTTTTCATCTCTTTTGAAAACCTTTTGATTATGGAAAAAGTAGGGAGACTAGAATAATGAACCCCATGTACCCACAACCCAAAATCCACAATTAACTACTCCTTGCCAATCTTGTTTTCTCTACACCCACAGACCCATCACACCCCTCTGGGCTGCCTTTTTGCTTATACAGAAGGAGTCTGTGAGGCATATGCTATCAACATCACATTATAAACATGTGTTTTCAATCTTAGTTTTGAGAAAGGCCCTAAGTGTTCTCCTTTGAAAGGTTTTTCTATCAGGAAGAAAGCTGCATTTTCTCCCAGTTGGAAGATACTCATATTGTAATCCAAATGGAACTTGTTGGATTTCTGTGTCATCAAGCACTAAGAGGAATAGAAAGGGTAAAAAACTTAAATATTAAGAATAACCCTGATGTTTGTACTTAGAAGAAATCATTACTTTTAAGTACACCTGCAAAGGCTTCTCAGCTTTCCTCAATAATCGTCTCTAGTGTTCTAACACCTGCTCTGACAAAATTCTCCCTTGCACTTCTTTAAATTCATTTGGACTTTGACTGTTCTTCTGCTGTCCTCAATAACCAGGAAGATAGTCACAGGCTCAGCTTCTCTGAGCGGTGCCTCAGTTATTGGCAATTCACTGAGTTTTATTGACAGAACCTAGCTCACATCAGGGTTTAAGTGCTCAATAAATTAATGAATGAAGGGAAGACTAGGACTAAGGAAGCAGACAGATGAAGTGGACCCAACATTTACTGGCTCTATACCAAAGAAACATTAGAAACAAGTATGTATGTTAGTATATGTAGATATATTTAAATTAAAACCTCATTTATCTAATTACTGTTCCTTTTTCTTTAAATGTATATTTCAACAGTTAATAACCACCAAGACTATATTCTTTTAGCTGTGCTGGAGAAATTTCAAGCTAGGCAGCAAATAAGTCTTTGCTAACAGAAGGAACAGATCTGTACTTGTCTTGGATGGCAAAACAACGATGGGTTTATGAAATCAATGCCATTTATGTTTTCTCCCAATTGACATTCCTTCCATTGACTCATTTAGTTTCATATATTATTAATATACTGTATTCCTAAATTTTGCACTGCATTTTCTAAGTTTTGTATGAATTTCTCATAAATATTTTAATAAATATTCCTTGTGTTTTGGCTGTAAACCTAGCTTGTAAAAGAATGCTGGGGTTTCCCTTACATAGTCTTAAAGATATGACGATTTAATACCTTCTTCAGTGAGGCCTTAAGAAAGCACAGAAGCTCCTCTTAGACTCGCTAGATCCGTCGTCCTGGTATCAAGCTGACTTCCCTTTCAATATGTGTCTATATGTTTCCTTTTCCATTTTATTAAATCTATCAACCTATTACAGATCCTTATTGCTATCTCACTTTGTTTTTCTCCTACTGTGAAAGGAAATACATTTTCTTTGTTCTTCTTTTGCACTAATATATGCTGCCTCTGTTAACCAAACTTAATGAAAACAATCACAATTTTCTCAGGTTTGTTTCTCCTTACTGTGTACTTGAGATGAAAAACTCACTTTGCTGTGTACAGTACAATATCTTTAATTGGAAAGAAGAGGAAATCGCCAGTGACATTTCTAATACCTTCAGTCATCTGCCTCTTTCCTCAGGCCCAGCTTATAATAAATCAATTGTGAATCTAAACATGAATAGGGAGGGGTGACTAGATTTGCTAATGGGCCCCTTAACAAAAATACAGGTATAGTTCACCCTGCCTATCACTGAGTTGGGAGTGTAACCTGATTTACTGGAGCAGATGAAAATGTTTGAGGCTATTCCTTATCCTTTACCAAGTAATCATGTATTTCCAATTTAATTGATGGGAATTGAATCATTGGCATCCTTCTGGTATTTTGCAAACTTTGCCTGAGGTGGGGGTAGTATGGATTATAGAAGGTGGATTTTAGGGTCTTGGTTCTGTTCTCTAGAACACAGAATGAATGTTTCTTTAGAGACTTGACATTTCCAGCGTGCTCACTCCCTCTCCACACCTCTCCCCCATTTTGGTCCATTTTGGGGTCAGGAAATCTTGAAACCTGTTTATAGTTTTTAAAAGTATGACAAGCCGAAAGGAATCCAGAAAATCCTGCTGCGTGTACATATCCATTAGCATTTAATTAAAGATGTTAGAGTCGAATTGTACAGGCTCCTGTAGCGTTTGACATTGTGACCCAATTCACAAGTGTTCCATACCATTTTGATTTGAAAATTGCAGTATCAAGGTAAAATAAGCTCTTAAATATCCTACAGCTGTGTTTTTAAAATATATGCTCTCTGTTGGAAGGTATAGTTTGTGAACTACTAAAAAGAACCTTTTTTTGTGTGTGAGGGAAAATTAATCCTGAGCTCATCATGAAGAACAGCTTATTTTTTTCATTTTCATCAAATGATAGCAAAATAAGAGGCTAACTGCAAAGTTAGTGCTTTAAAACTATAAAAATAAGACAAATGTTATTGCATTTACTCAAAAGCAATATTTAGTGCTTTCTTGATTCTCTTGGTGAATGCCACATCCTTGTAAAGTATAGTGCTGAGTCACAGATACATGAAATTAATTTAGCAAACATACTTCCTGCCCTCTAGGAGCTGGCAATCAAATAATTTTTCAGATATTTCATTAAGGAAAGGACATTTGTTAAGGCTTAACTCCCTAGAAGCTATGTGTATTTTCATCTTGATTAAATTTATATGAAGTTTGCATTGCCCCATTTTAAATAACTTCAATTTATTCAAAGCTACTAACAGGACTTGGGTTTTTCTAGTATTAATTAAAATAATGTAAAATTTTATTAACATTTAAAAATATAATTGCCTTATCTTTTTGCAGATATTGTTTTACTTACATCTTGAGAATTGTAGACAAAGGCCGGGTGCAGTGGCTCACGCCAGTAATCCCAGCACTTTGGGAGGCCGAGGCGGGCGGATCGCCTGAGATTAGGAGTTCGAGACCAGCCTGGCCAGCATGGTGAAACCCCATCTCTACTAAAAATACAAAAATTAGCTGGGCGTGGTGGCGGGCGCCTGTAATCGCAGCTACTTGGGAGGCTGAGACAGGAGAATTGCTTGAACCCGGGAGGTGGAGGTTGCAGTGAGGCGAGGTCACACCACTGCACTCCAGCCTGGGCAAGAAAAGCGAAACTGCATCTCAAAAAAAAAAAAAAAGAATTGTAGACAAAATATTGGGAACTAACAGCAGGCATAGCAGAGGCTGAGTTGTGGTGCACTGAGACCACAGACCGTGGTCACACACACACAAAACTTGTGCTGCATTTCTTATCCATGATGAGATGCTGAGCTCAAGTTCCTAACCTCTCCAAGTCCTGTTCCGGGATAGTGCTGGAGCATTAAAGTAGCATATAGTAGAGGGAACAGACTTTTAAACAGGTAATTAGAGGGTGACAGCAGAAGTCTTTCCAAGGTACAAAAGTAGTGCAAAGCAGGGAGTGACTATTGCAGAAGGCAGGAAAGGTAGCACCTAAAATAATTGAGGAATTATTTTAACCCTGGAGGTGCCTAACTTAGCTGCGGGTCCATTGGCTACTTTCTATTATCCATTAACTCCTCCCTGTCCTCACACTTGAACTTCATGGTCCAATCACTTCAATAATTATCTTGTCCTCTGGGAAACATGCAGTGTTTGACAAACCCAGTAATCTGCTTGTTCTGTCCCTGTACCTAGGTGGCTCTACCTGTGGGAGGAGGACAATTAGCAGGAGGGCTTGGTATGGGTATATTCTCAGCACATCACGCACAGTGGCACTCTCAGCCCTCTCTATCCCCTACTGCTACTCTCTCACCCCTTTCCTTCACTGGCTGGAACTTCTTCACTTTCCTCAAAACCCCCTCTTCTCAGACTCAGAGAGAAGATCTTTCCTTTGGTTTCTCAGAGCAAATCTAAGTGAGATAATAGGAGGAGGAGGCAGAGAGTGTGACAAGAGAGATGGATAAGAGTTTGTCTGGAAAGGGGCTAAGGGCAGAAGTTTGGGAAACACTACAGGGATATCAAGGTCCAAAATATTTCCACTGCATTTTTTAATTGGGAAAATTGTAGTGAAAGCAGTTTCAGGAAATTGGAAGAAGGCGGAAACTAGAATACAGTAGTTTAAGGTATGATTGAAAAGTGAGGAAATAGAAACCCCAGGTGCAGACTACCTTGGCAAAAAGTTAGGATAAAGCCTTTCTTAGTCTAATACTAATGAACAAGCATATTTTCTAAACTTCATTCCCCGAATCTGAGCTTATCAGACAACTTTCCAATTAACAGTCTGGCTTCCTGTATACATTTAGGGAGAGAATGTGTTGTTTTTAGTTGTTCACATATTTTAGTTCATGTAACAGCCTCATTTTTTCATTATAAATTAATAAATAGCATTTTGGCTTTAGTAAGAATAAAGGAGATTAAGAAGGAAAGAAAGGAAGAAAGAGGGGAGTTGGTTGAGAAAAGGAAGCAAGAGGGGAGTTTGGCTGAGTAGCTAGAAGACGAAATCCAGAGGTGAAGGAGGGATTTTGTTTGTTTAAGGATGCAAGTGCACCGAGCATATATATTAATAAGGAAAGAGAGTGAAATTGAAGGTGTAGGGAGGAGGGGCATCCATTTGGCTGGTAAACGCTGAGAGCATTTCCCAGGTACCAGGAACAGTGAAGAGTCCTGAGGATACAATATTGAAAACAGACAGTGTACTGAAAGGCAAGGAACTGGGCAGGGGTTAGGTCTTGAACATGAGAAGGGAGGGACCCTTAAGCCTGGAGGGAAGGAGATAATTATGGGTGTGAACCTAGGTAAGCTCACAGGTGAGGGGCAGGAACCTGAGGAGGTTTCTTGTAGATTGATTCAAATGAGAAACAGGTCTGTCGAGATTGTGCCTGTCAGGACTAAGTAGAGGGCCTGAGGAGAGTGACCTTGGAATAAGCCTCTGAGAGAAAACAGAGGGAATTAACAGGTTAAAGAAAAATAGGTGTTCAGAATCCACACTAACCTTGGAAACCACAAAACTGTAGTGGCTCTGTTTTCAAATTTCTGTCGTTTTATGGTGCTCAGCAGAGGACTGAAGAAGGCAGATCTGTGGATTCACTCATGATGAAAGGTTATGAGACTGGAATAGTCCAGAGAATCCTCCTGGAAGGAGTTCAGCAAGCTAGGATCTCAGTTAGGTGAGAGGCAAGAGCTGAAGATTTGCTTGAGGGAGAAAAGTGTGTGTTGCGGGAGTAAGTAGTAAGAGAATGCCCCCTTGTTGTCCCTGGAGGCGGCCATGATGTGAGGAAGCCACTTGCCTGGTAGAGGTTAGGAGGTGGATAACTTGGCACATCCACTTAAAAGTTCCTAGTGAATTAGAATGTCCATGAAGAATTAAATCTTTGTTGCTTTAGATCCTAGCAACCAGCTGCCCCCAGCAGTTACTTTTTCTTTTTTTCACTTGTGCCCCAATCTTTCCTACCTCCCATCTGAAAGAGATGAAAACAAAGCTACTCTAGTATTGAACTGAGGTGGAAAACAAACAGAAATGTAGTATTCTACAATGCTTGTTAGAGAGCTAAATGATTTAAAGGAAAGAAAGCAATCAGATCACCTACATTCTCCAAATAATTAACAAAGCTTTCATCCTAAACTGTCTTAACTGTATCCCGAATAAGTTGCACTTTGTTGATTTACCCTCACATCACTGCCCAGGAAATGAGGCTTGAAGAGGTTAAATGACTCCACAGATCACACAGCTTATAGCTGACAGAGTTAGAATTTGAACTCTGTGTCTCTGGTTCTTTAGACCATGCTTTTCCCACCAAACCACACAGGTTACCAGTTGTTTATCATGACAGTGAAGGTCTGCAAAATAGATGCTTAAATTGTAAAAAAGAACTTCCAAATGGCATAAAACTGAAAGTAAATGATACACAGAAGCAGAGTGCTATCTGGGGATTTGTTTAGAATCAACAATCATTGATTGTCCTTAATTGCTTAACTGTCCATTCTTCTCAGGGGTGAGAAGAGACACATAATGTCTTTCTGCGATTTTACGGTTCAGTTTCTAAAATTTAAAATGTAAAGAGAAAGGTGATAAAATGGAACTACTCTAAAATACATTGGTGTAGATTAGAAATTTTTTTCTGAAAGAATTACATACTACAGGAGTCTAATGGCCTTTAAAATTGGTGTTGTAAAGTTTTGTTTTGTTTTGTTTTTTTTAATGTCCAAATCGTTGGCTACAAAACTCTTCTCACGGAGAGAACCCCCTTTGTTTAGATGATTGTTTTGTGTCTAACTAGATGGGTCTAGTAAAAGACGGTAAACTAAATGGTGAGCTGTATTGTTCTACTAAAGAATATGTGAACAATATCATTTGCTTTATTCCCAAGAGGAGAGAAGATGGTTAAAGCTACGCCATAGAAATAGGGAATGGCTGAAGAACTTAGCTGATGGTGGAAGGGAGATAAAAGATCCAAGAGCACAGCAAAGCTGGGACATGAAAGACAGACAGAGGTGGCCTTGAGAGTTTGACCCTGCTGGGAATGTGCAAAAATATTTGGAGGCAGGATTTCAACTTTCTACAGAATGAGGAATGGGAGTTAGAGTGAATATTATTGAGATTATAAAGGGCAGGTGAATCTAATTGATATCTGCATTATGGTTGATTTCACCCCCATTTTATCATTTCATTTATTTAAAACAATACATAATGCATACTTTACATATTTCTGGGTCACAAGTTTGCACCTATTTGCTCTAAATGACATAATTTCTATTTTCAAATGCAGCAACCCTGCCTTTATAGGTATTTTGTAAATTAGAGACTTTGCAGGTTTTGAGTATATTAAGTACCCATCATCTGTGTGGGTTCCTCAAGTATGACAGAAATAATATGGATACTAGTTTTAATTTAATGCATGGATTATGTATGCTTCTATTCAAGATGCTAATTTAGTAGAAAGATTCTTAGCTGTAATTGTTTAGTATTATAAACATCCAGAAAATATGGACAGTCTAATGTCATATAAAAATAGGTAAGTTTGGTTTTGCATTTATTATAAATGTTCCTATGGTATTACTTTTTTTAAGGGCTAACAATGAGTGTAGCCCTCTAAATAGTGACTAATAGGAACTTGCACTTAATGGCAGGTTGTTCTTTAGGTAATTAAATTGTAAGCGTGAAGTTATAGTCTTTCAAGAACTGGAGAAAGTTTATGGAAATGGTAAGAAATTTTTATAAACAGCTACAGGATTGTAGCAAACTTCCCTCTGTGGATTGTCTCTATGCTTTGCACTCTAGTTCATCTGAAACCTATGAGGAATGTATCATCATCACTGTTTTGCATATGAGGAAGCTGAGCATGGCTGTGTTAAATGGCTTCCCCAAGGATATAGTCATGTAGGACCCATGTTAATGCCACAGCCTGTCCTGAAACTCTTCCCTTAGACTAGTGTGAACCTGGCCACTGCAGGTCTCCAAGACAGTTGCAGAGAACTTGAGATGGTTTTCCTCAATCCTGAATTTGCTGGCAGAATTCCAACCTGGAGCATGCTCCTCCACCCTGCGTGTGGGGATCAGTTCTTTGCATCCCACTCTGTCCTGGTAGTGCGTTAGCACTGCATTACGACCCATAGACATCTACTCCTGGAGTTTACTCTATTTACCAACAGAGGTATTTTTTGTCGTTAAAAAAAAAATTAGCAGAGCCATCAGACTTGACCCAGTCTGACCATGTACAATGAGAGCAGTTTTTCTACACACTCTATTTTATGAGCACTGCCGGCATTGACCAGTTGTTGCTTTTGAGTAGAATATGAGTTTGAGAGTCAGTGATCTCAGTAGCAGAGACAAAGGTTGCTTGTTTGGCAGTCACTTGTCATCTCTCCAGTATGCACTCATCCATTTGTCACAACATTTTGTGGCGAGTTGTACAGGGAAGCTTAAGAAAAATGCTTTTCTCCTGTCTTGATGATAGAAAGCATTTCTCACTGTTGGTAGCATGGTGGTAACTTTTCATTCCTTCTGGCAGTTTTTAAAGACTTATTTGACTTTGGGGGACCTTGCAGTATATCTTTAAGTCACAGTTCAAAAGTATAAGACAGGGTTGCTCATTTTCAATTTTGGCTGAAAAGTCTTTACTTTCACTGTGGCACTTCAAAGTTAGAGAAAACTTGGTTTTAAAAATGGATGCTGATATGAGATGGCATATTTAATGACAGATGTATCTATAGAAAGCTGTTAAGATGCAGATTATCCTCCCTGGGGTGGGGGAGGGAGATCAAAACTGCCAATCTATAAAATATACTCGATAGAGGAAGGCATGGAATCTATCTTTGCAAGTGCTTTGATTGCAGGGGACAGTATAGCAGCATGTGGCATCGTAACCCAGAGCAGACAAATCAGCTTGATGACTTTCAAAGCCAGGAATACTGCTGCAGGCAAGGGTACTCCAGTCTAGGAGAAATTAAAACATATAGAGACTGTTATTAATTCCATATCTATTTTTGTATAGTCAAATCTGTATGCAAATCCTTAGCATCTCATTTCAGCAGATTAATCTAAAAGCGAAGAGTGTTATGTGAAGGGAATGTAATGATAAAGCCCTGCAAATGAGTAACACTGCTAAAGAAATGTGGGCTGCAAACTGGGATGCTTTTTTAAAATGTATCTTAGTATTGAGAGAAAAATGATTTTTATTTATATGCTCATTTGTAAATTATTTCAAAGGGGAAGGCAAGAGAACCAGTTTCCAAGGTTTTTCTTTGCAATCCTGACTTGGCAAAAGTTGCAGCACTAGGTTTGTTAGGCACCTCCTGTGGTTTAACATTCTAGAGGGAATCTATTAATATCAAATAACTGGGACTTTAATTTTTACTCCCAACTAGTAACTTAATATCTCATTTCTAAACATTGTCATTTGAGTGAAAATTTGTATGTAAGGGTAAAGAATCTAATTACTGAGTGCAGATTAAGAAGAAAATGTATTATAGATGCATTTGTGGAAGACAGTAAATAATAATTCTGAAAAGCATAGAGATAAATTGTATGCCCTGCTTGGGAGAGGGGATGTAATAGCTACATTCTAATCCATTGGTTGTATGTTTAATCTATAATGGGCAGAGTCTGATACATACAGTAGTGTAAGTATTTTCAAATAGTGTCATAAAACAGATAGTTTACTACAGTAGATATTAATTATGTCCCATATTTCTAAAACAAGTAGAGAAACTTTTGAAGTCTTTAAATGATGGGTGGAGCTTTGCCCTCGGTTCCATTTCAGTTAGAGAAGTGATTGTAGGCAAGCTGGACGTTAATCTGGTGGTTATGGCTCAGATCAAAAGCACTAGCAATTATTTTAACCCTGAAGACTTGTGAAGTCTCAAGAGATTAAATTATTCTTGTGTGGTTATGCTGAGAAAGAATTATTGAACATTCTGTTTTTAATCACACAAGAAAGGGAAGGTTGGGAGTAAAAGCAAACACAACCCTATATTTATTTTGACACACATCTTGACTATATAGGCATTTCAGCCTCAGCTTTCTTAAGTGTGTTTTCCTTTCCTCTGATTTCATTTTTAAAATGAGATATTCAATGAGAAATCCAGAGAAGACTTTCTTTGAGGGCAGGAGGCTCATGTCTGTGTTCTTTGTGGATTTCTCTGCAGACAAAGCTTTTGTTGTTCTTTAAAATCTTAAATCTTCAAGCTTCTGAGATAATTTTAAAAATAGTCCTCTAGTTAATAATAGCCAAAGCCAATTATATGAAAGATATAATCTCCCTCCTGGGGTTGAGTGAGAGAGTAATGATTGGCCTGGATAGGTTCCTTCCCCTTTATGTATCCATTAGTTTTGATTGATTATTCCAGCTCAGTTAAGGATTAGACACTAATCCTCTGGATTCTTGTTGACTTGACTCCTAGCCATGTAGTTGATGGTGGTGACCTATTCAAAGTATTTGAACTGTCAAAGCAAAAACTGCACCAGATAAGGTTAAACAGAGAAAGAAGACTTTATTCAAGACTATAGCAATAGGAGAGAGAGATCAGAATACAGTCTGAAATCAATTCTATTAAGCAAAGTTTTTAAGAGGATGGTTTTTAAGCACTGGGGTGATTTAGTAGAAAAGTACTGAAGAACATTTCAGAGGAGCTTGATTAATGGATGTGTTGTACCCATGCAGTTATTTCTGAGTTGACAATTTTGGTCTCTGTGATTAGGCCATCTGTGTTTGGTGCAAATTGGTGTCTATCACAGTTAGGGTCCTTGGGAGACTGAGGTTGCAGTGAGCCGAGGTTGCACCATTGCACTCCAGCCTGGGCAACAAAAGCGAGACTCTGTCTCAAAAAAGAAAAAGTTACCGTCCTACATTCCCATAGAGGCTGGGATATAGAGCACTATCTTCCTTGATGATTACATTTCAAAGGGATGGCTCTCTGGACTTTAAGGAAGATATTATTGGGTTATAAAACTGGCAAGCAGCTTTTAAAATGATTTACATCTCAAAGAGGGAGAGAAAGAAGTTATGATTACAAGTTTTCTAAAGTAAGTAATCTAAGAAAAGGGAGGTCAAGGGGCCTAGAGTCAGGAAGCAACCTATTTAGTTTAGTTAAGCTGGGGGAATGTTAAGGCCCTCTTGGTCAGCATTTTAACAGTGTTTGTTTTTTAAATTCAAAAAATTCTAGTAGGAAACTTTTTTTAGTCGGGCTTAATTTTATATCTTTATTGAAAAATTAGCTGCTTCTTTGTGATACTGATTAAAATAAGAATATTATTCATTTTACACCAGTGTCTAGAACTACATGTAAGGCAATATTTCTAAAGATAGATTTCTTTGGTCCCATATCCTTGATATTTTATTATCTAACATTTAATATCTATTGGTGATATTTTCTTACTATGCTGTTTTATGTTTTTTTTTTTTAGAGTTTTTCCACTTAATGGTAAAACTTAAAGCAAAATGAATAATTTCTGGGTTTTACAGGGCTCAGTATACACTACAAGTATGAAAAGAAGTATGAGGACAAATAAGAGAAACTTAGCTGGAAGTGTGATGATTTTTTAGTGGTTCTTGATTAGGTGGGTCTCAGGTCTCTTAGATCTAAGCAGTTGTCAAGAGGGCTTCAAAAGAGTACACCACAATAGCAATTGCACTGAAGAGCCCTAGATTTGTGCTGCTCAGTATGGTAGCCATTAGCCCCATGTGACTTATTGAATCCTTGAAGCATGGCTAATCTGTACTGAGATGCGTTGTGTCAAATATACACTGGCTTTTGAAGACTTAGTATGAAAAAAAGAATATGAAATATATAAAATATCTTAATAATTTTTATGTTGATTTCATGTTGAAATGATAATTGTGGCTATACTGGGGTATATAAAATTTATTAAATTTAATTTCACTGTTTCTTTTTACTTTTTATGTGGCTACTGGAAAATTTATCATTGCATATGTGGCTTGCATATGTGGCTCTTGTTATATTCTATTGGACAGCACTGGCTTTAGATATTTTTTGATAAGTAATATCAAGAGATATCAAGATATCACTGTGTTAGAGTACGGATGTTAGAGCTTTAAAATTGACAATTTAGTGAAGGACAAGAATTTTCCATATAACTATGTCCCTGGCATAAACTGTGTAGAGATTTGTCTATGTGTACTATGTTCACTCTCACTCCCTAATACTTTGCCCCTCATTCTGGCCATGCAGAACAGCTTGTCAGAATTGGGGTCCTCTTGGTAATGTCAGCATACTTGTTGCTTGCTCTTAACTGGATTGCTTCTGAAATGTTTCTTGAAAATGAAACTGCTTCAACAATAAGCTTCTTAATTATGTCATGGGCTCACCATGAGGGTATACAAACAGATCCTCAGCAGTAGCTAATTCTCCTTTAATTGTATCTCATTCTTATGTTGGAATATCCTATTTTTTATTCATGAAAAGCTCTAACACATGTTAATCCATTACAGGTGGAGTAACTAATACGGCACAATATCAGAACAGGCTAATGGTGTATGAACCTAACCAGGTAAGAATCATGTAAGAACACCTCATTATCTTAATTAATGAATTTTAAAAGATTCCAGAGTAATTAGTAATTGGAATGCCAAGTGTACACACACAGATATGCATCTTTAGCTTATATAGAGAAAAGGAAGCATCTGAATAAACTGCTTTTTGGTTCCTTTTTTTGTTTTGTTACTCAAAACATTTCAGCTCCTCTAGTTTTGTGCTATACAGAATACATCACCCTTTCAGAGTTCTGCATAATATAGAAATGATTTGAATTGTCCTGTTGTAACGTCCTTCTGGAAGGGGCTGCCATTCTAGGAGGGGATCATGCTTATGGTTTATTCTAAAAAACAAGTATTAACTTAATATAGCCCAAATGACCTAAAACAGTATCTAGGACAAGTCTAAAGTAGAAGTATATGAAGAATCTGAGAGATGAGAAGTATCTGAAGGGTTTTCATCTAACAGCTGGGGGTTGAATATGCATATGGATGGTGCCTGTACCTTCTTTTGTCTACATTTCATGTACACCCAATTACTATTTTCCCCCAAAAGAAATATTTTTATTCTCTTTTCCATATACTAAAATATGGATGAACCTTGGCAATTGCCTGCTGAATTTTGCCATTTCTATGATTTTGGTAATGTAAATATTTTTGATTATGACGGTATTCCAAAATGATTTGTAGGCTTAATATTCATCAGCTGAATGTAATGGGATATGACACAACAGGTTGGCTTTGGCAGTCTGGGTTGGGACTGGCCACCAAATCTATGTCCCTAGTGGACTCAGTGTATTTGGTATCTTTTTATTTTAGCAATTACTTGATTCTGTATTTAATGAAGGCATTTCTCTCTTTGCAAAGTGTGTTTCCTGATGTCATTAGAAGCTGTAGATTTCAGAGACCAAATGTCCATGGGTCAGCTGTCTCAAGAGGGATCGTTAATTGCAGTTGCTTGAGTTTGGTGCACATGTGGTTAAAGAGGAAGAAGGTGTTAACATTTCTCAAATGAGTTCTGTTTCATGTTTGTACACACATGCTCTTTTAAAAAATTCTGCTGGCATATTGTTTACGGTGGGTACTGGCAAACATCACATCTGCTTGCATCTTGCTCAGAATCTCAATAACTCTATCATTCAGCCCTGGTGCTTATTTCTCTTCTAGGCCTTTGTGGAGAGTCGATAATGCCTGCCATCTGCCACAGAGCACATTGCTACCTGCCAACAGGCAGGCTGGGGTGACCTCTGCTTCCCCACCACTGATTAGTATTCACATGCTAGCTTATTAGGAATGACCCCACCAGGCCTCTCTGTTTCTTTGCCTTTGCAGCGGTTGGTGGCTCACCTGGCAGGCACTGCAGTGAAGGAAGCTAAAGATATAATCAGGGGATGCAGGCAGGCTTTGCAAACCAGATGGCGTCCATAGTCTGGTGGCAGGGGACTGGACTGCTAATGCAAACATTGATTCCTAATACTGTAATGGGTTGTTTCATAGAAAACACCTAAGAAAAGCGTCCTCAGAGTTTTGAGTTAAATACATTCATGTGTAATGTATTATAGATATTAGCAAAATAGCTGAAAGGCAGGCTTGACTATTTTATTAAAGAAGACATTTGATTGGAAGGAAATTCTTATTATATGTTCAAATGGGGGAACAGATAAATGCAAGCTTTTCAAGCTGTACAAATCACTTCTTTTCTTGAGTGTATCTTTAAAAGAGCTAGTCTATATGCCTATTAGTGAGTGGACCAATTTTTATACAAAATGTTTATTGTTGTTGTGTCTTGCTTCTTCCCTTACAGTTTTGTGAAATGGTGAAATTCTATGTATTCAAAACATCGTATGACTTTTTTTCTGGCCGAAATCCAAATTTTTCTTGGCAAAAAGGAATCTGGGTTCTTCCTGTATGCTTAGTGTTTATGTAGAAAGAAAACTGTTAGGGTTATTTACCTGTCCATTACTTTCTTTACTTATCTGTCCATTACTTAGTTGAGATTTAAAATTAAAGTCATATTTGGTCTTCATTTAATTTTACAATGAGAGCCTTATTTTAAGAAAGGTTGGGCATACTCTTCCCATTACTGAGGGTGAACAGGAACCAAATATTGAAGGTTTCACTATTCCCTAAAGTTATCATATAAAAAAGTCTTCCAGCAGGGTGCGGTGGTTCACACCTATAATCCCAGCACTTTGGGAGGCCGAGGTGGGTGGATCACCTGAGGTCAGGAGTTTGTGACCAGCCTGGCCAACATGGTGAAACCCCGTCTTCACTAAAAATACAAAAATCAGCCAGGTTTGGTGGCACTTGCCTGTAATCCCAGCTACTCGGGAGGATGAGGCAGAAGAATCGACTTGAACCTGGGAGGCGGAGGTTGCAGTGAGCCGAGATCATGTCACTGCACTCCAGCCTGGGCAACAGAGCAAGACTCTGTCTCAAATACAAAACAAAACAAAACAAAACAAAACTTAGTCTTCCACCAAAACAAATAAATGTGTGCCTAGAAATAACCTTTCCCAATTTGGCAAAAGATGTGACTGTTAATATATTAAAGGAGGCTGATAAAAGGAAATGTGGGTGGTTTGTTGCTGAACCAAATCTTAGCTCTTCCACTGATCTCAGGAGGTTAATTTTGGAAAGAACAGCAAAACCATTACCCTAGCTTATCTAGCGGCCTGAGGTACCCAATGATTATCATCACATCATTTTGAAAAAATGAATATGTATTGAACATTTTTCATGTGCATTTTTCTAAGTGCTTTATGTGTATTAGCTCATTTAATCTTCACAATAGGCTTATCAGGTAGGCATTATTATCCCCATTTTACAGATGAGAAAACTGGCACAGAGATATTAAGTAAATTGCTCAAGATCACATACAAGTTATAAACCCAGGTAGTCTGGATCCAGAAACTATTTTCTTAATCATTGCACCACTGTATATAGTATACCTAGCCATGTGCTTTCACTCTTAATGAATTTGCATGAGTAAATTCTCTGAATTGGGTGAGATAAACATCATGAAAATTTCAATGTTCCCCTGATGTAATTCAAAATGCACTATAAAATGCAACACAAACTAGAGGAGATGCCGTGTGTAAATCGCAAAAACAATTGGAATATGTGGCTCTTTTGTACTTGTTCTCATGTAAGAAGCCCATACCTTTCAATATATATAAACAACATTCAAACAGAATGTTGATCTATTGATTGATAAACATTAGGGTTCTCACTACTTATGAGGCACTCGTTGCTGTTTTCTGACATGGAGGTCTCCTACTAACAGAATACACTTAAATTTCTTTTTTCAGAATAAGTGGATAAGCCGTAGCCCCATGCTGCAGAGAAGGGTCTACCATTCCATGGCTGCTGTACAAAGGAAGCTTTATGTTCTTGGAGGCAATGACCTAGACTACAATAATGACCGGATCCTTGTGCGCCATATAGATTCTTACAACATAGACACTGACCAGTGGACACGTTGTAATTTCAACCTGCTGACTGGCAAGTACCTTTGATTAAGTAAATCAGGAAAAGTAGATTCAAGAAGTCACCAAACTTGTTTCATAGACATCTTTAGGGCATCACTAAATATTAAGTGCATAGTTGTAGAAGAACCTGCATTTATTAACCAGAAAGGTGTGTATCATTTATGTTCTAACAGAACTGGACTCATTTAGGTAGCTGAGCATCTAGTTTCTCAGGGCCTATATTACTACCATTATGCACATCCTCATATGGCTGAGAGGCATGTCAAGTCCATTATCATCCATCAGTGTTAAGATGGAACTCTGATACAAGTAGGAGGAACCAGACACTGAAGGATTTAATAACTCTTTACAGAAGGAATTTATTGTTTACTTCTCACTGCTTTTAGTCTTATTTCTTGTGAGTTCAGGAGTTTAGGAGCATGGTCTTCATTATTTGTCACTGTCAAGTATTGTTTCTGTGAGTATTCTCCTAGAAATGAAACCCTTAAGTGGTTCTGTACACAGGAGTTTAGCTGCATTTTTGGCCACAAATACCCATCCAAGCATTTACCACAGAGCAACATTAGGTATGGACCTTCCTCATCCCAAAAAAGGATGAAAGTAACACGGTGAACAACTTACCCCTCATGTTTCTTTATGGAGTGAATAACTTTTCCCCCTTGTCAGCTTGCATTGTTAACATCTACAAGTGATCAGATCCCTTCCATGTCTGCTCAAATAATAGGAAAAATCACAAACTGAAAATGGTAGGTTGGGTTAAGACATTTTAATATGCTGAGTGGGCACTCAATCCCTTGCAGCTGCTGCTGGGGGAGGCAACGCTGGGAATCTAATCAGAGGTTTAGATGCTTGTATTGAGCTCCTGTTTTTGCAAAATGATTTTTGAGGCCCACTGGACAAGGACTTAGAAACTCTCTGAGTTTTAGCGGTACCTTAGGCCCTCGATTCTGGATCTGTGATTCTGCCTGCTGTAAGATCCAGCTTATTTATTACCCCAGTCAATCCTGTGTCAGCCCATCAATAAAAAGAGACTCTTTCACTCTGTGATGGCCTCCAGGGAAGAATATGTGGTAGTGAGTTATTCTGTCTTCTTTTTGAAATGGGAGGGGAAACCTTTCATCATTTTGGCGTGTCAGCATCTAGGGATTATCCAGGCTGGTCCCAGCTCAGGAACTTTAATATAATCTTTAAAATGTTGGGTATGTAAAGAAAGGTAGGGTAGCAAGTTGATCAATCTCTTCTGCCATTTGTCTTCATTTGGGGCATGCTAGGGGCATGGCTCTGCTTTATTGGCTTCTTGGGGTTGCAGCTGTTACTTTACAAATGTAAGCACTTGTCTAAAAAGCATTTGCGGGTATAGAAGAGGTGTTTGCATTTCTATAATATACCTTATTTCCACCACTGTAAATTAATGGCATGTGACATAGCATAGAATTCAGTTCTACATGGCTTACTATTGCTGTATTTAATGCTGTACTTACTAACTTGGCTGGCTAATAAGTGTTTTGGCCTGGTTCTGACCTGACAGATTCATTCTCTGAGAAATAGTGCTTAATTTTTCTGAGTACTGGGAGGCAGTGATTAGTTGCTGCAAAAATCCCATGGAGTATACAAATGTGCCACAAAGGAAAATTGTATCCCTCAGTGGCAAAAGGGTTAATTAAAATATGTAAGAAATGGATTTTTTTTCTTTTTATTCAATTCTCTTTACTTTAGGCCAAAATGAATCTGGAGTTGCTGTCCATAATGGGAGAATATATTTAGTTGGTGGATATTCAATTTGGACAAATGAGCCTCTGGCTTGTATCCAGGTGAGTGGTAGAAGTTCCTTTTGAAGTTTGTTCAAGTGGTTCAGCGAGGTTACATTTTGCAATGCTGCTACTGAAGAAAGAGATATTTATGTTTAGAAAGAGGCTTAACGTCCCGTTTTTTGTGCAACTAGTTCAGCCACTAAACTTCATCCTGTATCCTAAAAATGATGCCTAAATAAATTATTGAGCCCTATTAAAAATAAAAATGAGGATGAATTTTGAAAAATATATGTAATATATATTGGAAACTGGGAAACTGGGATAGCGTTCCCTTTCTCATAAACCAAAAAATTCTAAAAATCTTTGGCAATAGTTCCTTCATATCCCCCAAGCTTTACAAATACTTCCTTTCCACACCATTGCCTTATTTTCTATATTACAGTTCATTCATTCCCACAAATGCCACCTACAAGGGTGTTCTTCCTTCACGGCAGAGGCTGTGAGCAGTAGTGGTTTATGACTGGTCTGATAGGGACAGCCTCTGTCCCAAAGAATAGCCCTGGTGCATCAGCATATGAGCAGCCCAGGCTGGGCAAGTTGCCAGCTGGGCCTTTCAGAAGAGCAATAGCCCTCATTGATAGACACATTCATAGTATTATTCCTATTATTATTTTACAGTTATTACCATAGTTTTCTCTTTTACATGTTCTCTGATAAAATATTGACATGTATTAGCCCTGACCTTTCTTCCTGACCTCCAGAAAAGTATATCCTTATAACTACTTTTATTATCTAATCGCATCTTTATGGGAAGATTTTTAACAACTGCATCAATATCTTTAATAGTTGCAGAACTGTTCAACCTTTTTATTTCTTTTTCAGTCACATCTCATAAAGTACATATATTTTGAAGAAAATTCCATGTTGTCTAAGTTTTCAAAATTGCTAGCATATAGTTGTTGTGTTATCCTTAGTTATATCTCCCTTTACATTCATAATATTGTCTCTTCTTCTCTTGATTTGTCTTGACAGAGGTTTGTCTGGGGAATTTAAAGTACTTCTATTATTCATATAGATGAAGTTAAAAAAGTCAGCAAGGGTAAGGTAGATATGGAAAATATAATTAACAAGCTTGTCTGAATGGATATGGGTTCTGACTGAGCAGTTGGAAAGACTGTATTTTTCTTAGCATACATGGAACATTTACAAAAACCAGTCATGTACTAGGGTTAGGGTTAAGAAAACTTTAGTTAAAAAAATTAAGTATTGTTTAGTATTATGTATCTCTAATACAATGCAATTAAGTTAGAACTTAACAAAAAAAAACCCCTACATAACTGGAAATAATAAAACACATTGCTATATAACTTATGGGTTAAAGAAGAAATCATAATGGAACTCAAAAAAATTCCCAGAACTGTGATAATAAAAACAATATACAGCAAAGCTTGTGAGATATAGCTTCATAAGTTAGAAAATGAACCAAAAAGTAATCTCAAAGAAAGTAGAAGAGGAGAGATGATAAAGATGAGAGAAAATTAATAAACTGGGAAACAATAATACAGGAGAAAAGAATTATCAAAGCCACACACACATGAAGAGCCACATAAGACTTTAAGGGAGTTCACTGAAGGCTGCCTTGTACTGGTTTTAGTTAGTTAATGGAAAGCTGCCTTGGACTAGAGCTTCGTCCTGTCTTTCGGATAACAACAAATGAACAAACTTTTCTCTCAAAGAGTGCTTCTAGTCTTCATCCAAGCATGTATTTGGTAGTCCTTCATAGTCTTTTAGGTTTCTTTTTATTTTTTGCTTTTCAGAATTGGTAGAACTCAGAACTGGGCAACAGTTCTCTATAGTGCTGGAACACTGTTTTTTAAATGGCTTTGGGACCCTTCATTTGATCACTTGCACAATGGAAGTAAGTTTGGGTTTATCATGAAATAAAATTGTAAATTTTAAATACATTTATGAGCATATTTCTACTAGTTTTAGTATCAGATTAGCTCAAGGAATAGAAAATTAGTGGAAATCATAACATAATGAGGAAATAAAGAAAATGCTGTACGTATCAAGTTTAGGAGATCAGAGTGCTGCCATAGTGCACATTTTTTCCACATCTCATATTTTGTTAACAGTCGTGAATGTTAGTTTGTAAGACATAGAAACTTAAATAAAAAAAACTTCGTAGTCGCATCATTTGTTTTTTGTCACCAAAGAATTTTTCTGTAAATGATCACTAATCATATACACTAATTAATTGCTAATGACATTTGGCTGTTTTCAAACAAATCTATCCACAAGAAATGAAGAGGTAAACAAATGCATATTTTAAACCACTGAGGATATTTGAGAGTATCCTCAGGATTATGGTGATTATCAAAGGGGATTCAATTATTTTTTTAAGTCAACACCTGTATTAGTGGAATAAGTTTCACCTCTGAGATTGTACAATAATATATTCTAATATATTTGCTTTTAAATAAAAGTCAGCATGATGGGTATTTCTGTGTTCCAGTAGCCATTCTGATGAACAGAATCAATCCTTTGGCAAATACTGCGTTTATTCCTTTGGCTGGCACACTGGTCCTACAAAGCACAGACAAATTTGTTAATTTTTTTTTTTTTTTTTTTTTTTCCTGAGAGTGTCTTGCTCTGTCACCCAGGCTGGAGTGCAGTGGCGTGATCTTGGCTCACTGCAACTTCTGCCTCCTGGGTTCAAGTCATTCTCCTGCCTCAGCCTCCTGAGTAACTGGGATTTCAGGCATGTGCCACCATGCCCAGCTAATTTTTTGTATTTTTTAGTAGACACGGGGTTTCACCATGCTGGCCAGGCTGGTCTCAAACTCCTGAACTGCCCACCTCGGCCTCCCAAAGTGCTGGGATTACAGGCGTGAGCCACTGCATCTGGACGATTTGTTATTAAGAGCCTTTACTATTAATAGGTAATAAGTATCCCTATAAGCATATGGATTATCACTTAAAGAGATGTTTGAAATAGAGGTATTCATGGATAGTGACATGTATCTTTCATTTTAGTTAATGACAGCTAGTTACAGGCTATATTACCATTCATTCTGAACTAAAGCTCCATTTTTTTATGTTATGGATGACGATAGAACAATTGGTTTCAATACACTAACAGTAATAAATTAAATTGATGGTTGGAGAGAATAGCTACATGTTCAAAAGTAGGCCACTTCTTTACTACTTAAAGAACATCCAACAGAGGCAAGATGATGGGAGACTGGAATAATATTTATGAGAAAATGCTTAACAGTGGAAATTCCTAAGTATGTCAGTGGGTTGAGAAGTACAGAAGCATAGTGGGGAAAAAATCATATGCATACTAAAAATATAAAGGTTTAAATTTTTTGTGTCGTCAGTCACAAATCTGTATATTTGATCCAAGATTAATCCACAAATCATTAATCCAAGAGCATGGCTGATTAATGGAAGTCATACTTAAATAGTTCTGAGATTGTTCTATTAACATTTGGAAGTACTAATTTTTTTTTGCCCTCAAAAGTACCAGCCAATAACTTCTCACTTAACTGTCCCTTCTGGACCCTAATCCAAGCTCATTTAACTGTGATTTGTAGGATTCAACCACAGTGGGATGAAGCATGTCCAATGTTGAAAAAGCATACTTTATTTCCTGCTACTACTCTGATTTAGCACAGACTATTTATCCATCAGAAGGACAACCCAAACAAGAGAAAAGCAGAGATACTCTTAGGTTGAGATTTGGACTTGTTAGTAATAAACAAACACTCATGGAAAATAATGGAAATAGATTACTGACGAAAGTGAAGGTGTTCTTGTTTATTTAGTGGGTGTGTAAACTAATGTCTGTCACAGAGGTTTGACTCTAATCTTGTGTGCCATGGATGACAAGTGGCACATAAAGGAGCAGCTGCGTAAGTGTGCAAGTGATTAGTCTGTGTTTCTAGATCACCTCTACTGTTATCTTCATTTACTATTATTTTTTTTGGCTGGAGGATACAGTGCCAGCTTGGCACCACACTCTCCCAAACGCCTTCTTTCAGCCAGTTTACAGGGGAGTGTTTTGGAGAAAAACTGCCAATGCTTCCTTTTCCCTTCTCAGATTAAATACATTACATCTGCTTAACATATGCAGTCTCTGTTGGCCCAGGAAACCAGACAAAAGCTCTCTGGATGATTATCTCATTAGTATTTTGCCTTCTAAAAATGTTTTCAGTCAGGAGGGAGGGCACAAAATCCTTGCTCTTTCTGGGTTGCGTCTTGAGCTCAAATACTGGCTCCACCACTTGCCGTGTGACCCTGAGAAAGTCACTTAATTTTTTCCGGTATCAATTTTCTTCTCTGTAAATTGAAGACAATACTTAACCTTATAGAGTTGTGGTAAATACTAAATGACCTCTGATTTACTTTTTGTATTTAATGAAATACTAGCCAAAACCCCACCGGGGTTTTCCCTTTTCTCATGGGGCGAAGTAGTGATACTTGTCAAACTAATCTTGAAAGATTCTCTAGGAAAGTAAATGAGTAAGAATAATCAAGAAAATTTTGAAAATAAATGAGGAGTCTTGCCTTACCTAGTCAAAACAACTGTAAATGTGACACTGAAAGAAAATACATCAATTAACAAGAGAACAGAGAAAACGTTTGTATTTAGTATATGAGTGAGTTATTTTAAATTAGTAGTGACAGGGTATATTGTTCAATAAAGAGATTGGGACATCTAATCTCCACTTGTTTGTTCTTTCTTTTATTCTAGGACTTCTTAGTAATTTCCTCCTTTGTGAAACATGGATCCCCAAATTTCAAGGGCCCATTTCCTGTAAAATAATGCGTTGTTGAAGTTAAAGTCTTTTTTTTTCCCCCAGACGGAGTATCACTCTGTCGCCCAGGCTGGAGTGCAGTGGCGCGATCTTGGCTCACTGCAAGCTCTGCCTCCTGGGTTCAAGCCATTCTCCTGCCTCAGCCTCCCGAGTAGCTGGGACTACAGGCAGCCGCCACCACGCCTGGCTAATTTTTTGTATTTTTAGTAGAGACAGGGTTTCACCATGTTAGCCAGGATGGTCTCGATCTCCTGGGCTCGTGATCCACCTGCCTGACTCCCGAAGTCCTGAGATTACAGGCATCAGCCACCGCGCCCAGCCTATTGCAGTTAAAGTCTTAAGATTTATCCACACAGGTGATAGATGAAGGCATGAGAGTGGACTAGATCATTAAAGACGCGTACAAAGAGGTCTGTGATTGAAATATTGGGAAACACCTACGTCCAGGATGCAGATGAAGGAAAAGGGACTCAAGGTGGATTGCAATATGATAATGTCAATGACAAACTTTCATTTTTTTAAAACACCAAATCCACGGGAGGCAAATGTTTAAATAGTTAGAGAAAAGTCAAATGAAAAGGGATCAAGATGATAACTGCAGACTTGAAAGAGCCTAATAGGTTTGACAAATGGGGCGAGAGCAGCTCTCCTGAAGAAAGAATTTTCCTGCTTCAAAGATTCAGCCAGGTTCAGTTAGGAGACAGCAGGCACTGACTAACAGAGGCTGTGCTATATAAGAAGAGAGAGGCCAGGCACAGTGGCTTACACTTATAATCCCAGCACTTCGGGAGGCTGAGGTGGAAGGATTGCTTGAGCCCAGGAGTTTGAGAGCAGGCTGCACAACATGGCGAGAGCCCATCACTACAGAAAATTTACAGATTAGCTAGGCGTGGTGGTGTGCACCTGTGGTCCTGGCCACTCAGGAGGGTGAGGCAGGAGGATTGCTTGAGCCCAAGAGATCAAGGCTACAGTGAGCACCACTGCACTCCAGCCTAGGTGACAGAGCAAGACCCTGTCTCAAAACAAAAACAAAAACAAAAACAACAAAAAAACCCCAAAAACAAACAAAACAAACAAAAAAACTCCAGCATGAACAGGAAAGAACTGGGGAAAACCTTCCAGAATCGACTGAATTTTGAATTTGCTACTAAGCTGTGTTATATTCCACTACCTGCCAGACACTGAGCTAGATGTCATCAATTTTCACAACAAAGCTGCAAGGTCTTGTTTTCTTCATTTCACAGATGAGGATGTTTAAGCCAACATTATGTCAGACTGCCTACTAACTAGTTTGGGCAAGTTATTTAACTTGTCTAAGGCAGTTTTCTTAAATGAAGTAATGCTACCTACCTCATAATTGTTCTGAAGATTAAATGCTTATAAATATACATGTATGTATATATGTACATCCAAAAACATACTAACATAGTGTAGCATTTAGTAGGAGCTTAATAAATATTTCTAGTACCATCCAAGCAAGAAAAAGAATTCCTAAGATATGGTGATGGTGACATAACTGAATTTAAGTTCAGAATTTCTTTTATGTATACATAGCTTTATTTTGAGCAGTCATCTTTGATACACAAGCTTCTTCTCTTCCTCTTTTGTAGGTACTGGATGTAAGCAGAGAAGGCAAAGAAGAAGTATTCTATGGGCCTACACTCCCTTTTGCTTCCAATGGAATAGCAGCATGCTTCCTTCCAGCTCCATATTTTACATGCCCTAACCTTCAAACTCTTCAAGTGCCTCATCACAGGATTGGCACCATCTGAAAAGCCAAGCCATCATGAACAGGAGGAAAACATAGCTCTGACTGTTGGATACTGGGCATGAAAAGACTCAGTGCTCCATGCTTCCTTGTCTTGCTTTATAGGTCTTATATTCGGATAAATTTAAGCAAAAAATGAACAATTTTCTAAAATACGTTATTGAAAACTCGTCACCCTTCTCAGTGTATGTCAACATTCAATATGTATGACTTTTATTGTGGTATAGCTTAGTGCCAATTTAAGGTATATTGTGTTCCATGGGTCTTTAGAGCATTCTTTGTACACTTTTTCTAATCAGCACTGTCTTAAGACAACATAACACTGTTAGTAAGGCAATTTATTGGACACAATGGCATCGATGATCTTAAAAATATATATATTCTGTACTTAATCCCTTTATTATTTAAAGCCGGGCTTGTAATTTTTCTTTTTAAAATTTAACATTATGCAGCCCTGCTCAGTAGAGACTCACTCAGCATTATGACATCATAAATTTTTAAATGCCATATTTTATTCAAGGTGATACGAATAATAATAGACATACACTGGAACAGCAGTTGTTGAAATACCCAGATTTTTCACCTTGGTTACTCTGACCTTGGGTCAGAACCTAACTTTACAGTGCTTCAGTTTTCCCACCTTTTAAGGAGGATAATTACTGATTTCCACGTTAATTTAAAAGAACATTATGAGGATTAGGCGAACACTTTGTAATACTTTGCCCAAGAAAAAGAAAAATGTTGTTACTGAAATTATAAGGTATTTTATTGTCTTTAGAACCTTGTAATTGAACAGGGAGATTATTTTTGAAGTTTAAAAATTACTAGATAGAATTTGGAAACATGTTGTGGAATAAATGATTCTAAAAAGCATGTGAAAGAGACACACAATGAGGAAATAGGGAGTTTCTCAAAATCTAAACTTGTACAGGTATCTAAACTTGCCTCAAGTAACTCTCAGATGTCTTATTTAAAATCATTTAGTGAAAAATGACATTTAAAGCTAAAAAATAATTTAGTTGTACTAATTATGGTACCATAAAGTGCTTTGACATAAATTTGAACCTAGAATTGGCAGTTCTAATAAAAGTTTTTCCACTTTGTTAAAGGTTATGTCAATCTTGAGTGCTTGTGGAATTCTTCACCACCAATACATATTTTATTACTATCTCTTTTAATAATGCATAGGAATTCTTTTTTAGACTAGTTTTTGGGTTTGCTTTGTCTATAACAAAAAATAAATACAACAACTTAATAATCACATTTGAAAACAAATTTAACAAGTATAATGTGAGTTTTTCTTTTTTCCTAACTTCCTCAGGACCTAGGTCACCTTTATTAAAAGGAAGAATTCACTCTTTTTTCCTTGGCAGTTTAATCATTCAGGAATCCCTCTCTTAAAGGAAATTGTTATTTTATTCATGTAACCTTTTTTTGTAATCAAAAGTGAATAAAAACGATCTTTTTGTCTTACAGAATTCACTAACTTCATATATCGTTATACACAAAACATTGAAAATACATAAAACATTGAATATATGGCTTCTGGTTATTCAGATTTAAAGGGCAGGAAAGGGGACTAGGGAGAAGGAAAACAGGTAAATTTTAAAAAGAATAGGAATTTAGTATAGACAAACCTTAAGAGTATTTGGACAGTTCTGAACAGTGAAAATTGATATTGACAATTGATATTTACAATGAAGACAGCTTCTTTAAATGGTTTAAGCCATCTAAACTAAATTTTAAAAATGCCTTACCAAGGCAGGAAAATGAACTCCAGTATTTCAGAAAACTTTTCAACAAGGACTTAAGTATTCAGCTATATTAATTTTTCTACTTGGGACATGAATTTTCTCTCTAGCAGTTTTACCTAGTAAAACTATTAAAATCTATTTGTATTCCCAGGCCCTACATCCAACCAATGAAAGGGAAAAGCTCTAAAAATAAGCTTGCCCAACTAATAATAGCCTGAAAGGTAGCCTGAAACTACCCTTATTTCTGTATATATTTCTAACAATTCATATAAAACAAATCAGCATATATTAAACCCCTCCTAAGTGATCTTTATAATGTAATATTCATTAATATTACAGAACTGAACTCAGAATTTTAAAAAGTTTTACCAGGTTCAGACACATCCTTTACAGCTATAGCCAAGAGTAGTACAAAAACATAACATCTCTTCCCTAAAAGGGAAAAAACCTAGATAACTTATAATTAGATCCTTTTATTCAAGGTTATCAATAATAGAAATAAGAATTCTATTAAACTATGGTCATATGAGCCAAATTTCACTGAAACTATTCAAATATACATTTTCGATTTAAGTGAACTACACTATAGTAATTCATCTTCCATTTCCATTTTTACTCTTCAAAATTAAAGGCTATATTGTATTTGTAATGTAAATTATTATACTAATGTGAATTTCTATAGGAAGGTCATGAGACTTGCAAACATTTAAATATCACTTCAATATTTTACTTTAAAAGAGGAAACAAAACACAGTACCAAACAGATGATAACAGATATTCTTGGTGTTAAAGGAAAAGCCAGCAAAGATGTGAATTTCTAAAATAATCTGTACAATGCAATAACACTTCTTAGATCCTTAAAAACAAAATAGCAATTAGGTAATGACTAGGGTACTTTTCATACTTTTTCCTTCATATTTTCTTCACACTTTAACCACATGTACATCAAACTCTTTCAGCTACCACAGCATCTGAAAACCTAACTTTCCATAGTTTTACCACAAAGTATAAAAACATCAGTAATAAGATAGAAATTATTACTTCTGGTAACATGGCTCATTTTTACTTTAGCTTCCAAACAGTGAATCTGTTATAAAAAGGAAGTTTTCAATAATCAAGGGCACAATGTAAGTTACATATATACTTTTATTATTATATATAATTTTATCATATGCACAAATAACTCATAAATATGTATATAAAACTAAAATGTCCACAATTTTTCTAAAAGCACAATTCACAAATGCAATGAATTGGATAGCCATTGGCACATCAAAAATTTTAATAAGTATAAACTGGTCAATTCCAACCATTTGGTAATTTACAATGCAGGTTATCACAGTATCAAAATACACCTTATTAAATTTGTAAAGAATATGCTATGTTGCTAGCTTCCCAAACCAACTGTTTCTAACCAAATAAAGCATATTATTTATATTGGCATACTATACTCTTGCCTGACAGGCAATATTTTTAACTCTAAGAGGGGTAGGTAAAAGATCAGTTTTTTGGAAAATAAAAGATTTATATAAAAAGTCTGGATAAAAAAGCAGTGGTTTAGTACAGATGATTCAACTTTTGGTGAGGTTTCTGTATCTATTTACCTTTTAGACATGGGGAGACATGAGTGCTATGATAACATACGGTTTGGGGAAGGCAGATTTCTAAAGGCTTTTCCTAACTGTAGAAGCTTGTCAAATTTTTATATAACATACAATTTTTAACTGTCAAAGATTCTGTGAAAGTACACAGAAGCAGGTCCGTGTAATTATTTAAGAACAAGGTAGTTTAAAAAATGTGTTGTAAAGCATGGAAGAAAATAATAATAGGTAAGGAAAACCCACAAACATCTGACTCACAAATATTTTCTTATACAGATGCTGAGGTAGAAAAAGTCAAATATGCTTAAGAAGAAAACATACGAAGGATAGGTAAAGATATACAAGTTTTAAACTATGAAATTCCTCTAATGCAAATGAACTCAATACTGAATGACTTTTCCACAGTCCTCCATGCTTCCTTCCTTGCCATGGAAACGTTCTAATTAAATTGAAATTTAAATCATAACCAAATCCAAATGCCTAATAAAGTCCTTTCATCACTCTGTTGTCCTTCAGTTGTCTTTTATACTCTATCTGGTATTTTATAGATATTATTTGACTGGAATACTCATGTATCCAAATGTATATTTTAATTTTCTTCCTATTTAAGTGTCTTCAATTTCTATAGGAAAGAGGTCCTATACAGTTTCCATGCTGTAAACTGAATGAGGCTGAGTGTAGGATGAACATGGCAATCAGAGAAAGCTGCTAAATGAGCCTCTTGTTTGGAAAGAGATAAGCTTGAAGATAAAGGTACAGTCAGATAGGTGGCAGAAAGTCTCCAGACTGAAGGGTTTGAACATCACCTTATAAACAATGGTAAGTTACTGGAAGTCCTCGAGCAGAAAAGTAACAAGAGGAAAACAGTATTTTAGGAATACACATTTCAGAACATAAGCTGTAGGAGAAGAAACCAGAGGTAAGGAAATAAGTAGTGCCCAACAGAAAAAACAAACAACCAGTGGATGCAAGGCACTGCAAAAAGATAAAAAGAAGCCTAAGATCCTGTAATGGTAATCAACTGAAAGTGGGAGAAACATGAAGAACCTAAAATGCCTCTGACATTTCAAGGCTAAATAACTTAGGACAATAGTGTATTCCCTGGGTAGAAAATGAAAGCAGGAGGTAGTCTGAGATTTCAGGAGACTCCAACTACAGAGGTTTAGAGATGAATTAGCACTAGGTGGCTCATCACGCCTGTAATCCCAGCACTTTGGGAGGCCGAGGCGGGCGGATCATGAGGTCAGGAGATCGAGCCCAACATGGTGAAACCCCGTCTCTACTAAAAATACAAAAAAAATTAGCCGGGCGTGGTGGCGGGCACCTGTAGTCCCAGCTACTTGGGAGGCTGAGGCAGGAGAATGGCGTGAACCCGGGAGGCAGAGCTTGCAGTGAGCCGAGATCGTGCCACTGCACTCCAGCCTGGGCGACAGAGCAAGACTCTGCCTCAAAACAACAACAACAACAACAACAAAAAAAAAAAAAAAAAAAAAAAGAGAGAGAAAAGCTGGAGTTATCAGTTCACCACTAACAGAATGTTGAGACAAAGCAGATGAAGGGTCGTATCTTACGACTGGGGACAGGAAAGAAGACCATGAAGGTGCTCTCAAGATACAGTGGTCATTTTTGGTCTGGGGACTGGTTCCAGGATCCCCTGTGCATACCATAATCTGCACTTACTCAAGTCCTGCAGTTAACCCTGAGGAACCTGCCTCTACAAAAAGTTGGTCCTCCATATACTCAGATTTTGCATCCCACAAATACTGTATTTTAGATCCACATATAAGTGGACCTGCACAGTTCAAACTTGTGTTGCTCAAGGGTCAACTGTATATGTAGGAAGGAGCAGTACCATTGTGGAAATGATGGGAAGATAAAAGAAAATACAATTGTCACAGAGAGGACAAAGAACATGAGAAAGGAGAACAAACTCAGATTTGACCAAAAGACAATGGCTTGTATTACACTGGTAGAAGCAGCAGCCTCAGAAATTACAGGGTATTTAGGGAAAGTGGCTATTAAAGAAGCAGGTATAAGGGACTCCAAGTCTGGGAATGAAAGAGGGCAAGATTGTAGTAATAAGTGAAGGATCAGTGAAGATTTTAAAAAAAAGGAACTGAGCCATAAATTTTCTTCTTTTTTCAATTTAAAAAAAAGCTTTAAAAAAAGTTACTTATACATAAATACAAAACATATAATACACACACATATTGTTACACACTTTGTTGTTACCATTCTTAAGTACAAATTTTAGTTATTCTTAGTATCTATAGATATATGTCCTAAAGCATGATTCAGTAGCAGCTTTTCCTATCCTTTAAACGTTTTCATACTCTAAGGAGCAAGATTCTCAAAGGTATCTTTATCAATCTCCTTTGGAAAAAAAAAACCCACACACACACACACACACACACACACACACACACACACACAAAAACACATATACACATAAATAACCTCTTTAAAGGCATCACCTTAAATAGATAAAACTCCTTAGTGACTGCTGGAACTTTCCAAGCCATACATTATTTGTTTAGTAAGTCACTATCATGATGAAAAGAAATTCAGTGTTATGAAGTCTATTAAACAGCCTTAAGCTTTCATTTATTCCCTTTGATGAAGCTGATTTGAGAGAAGGACCATTTATATGTTATGAAAATAACAGACACTCCTTTGGATTTCACAGATTATAATTAAGAGAACGCTATTAACTACAGAATACTGATTGCAAAGTATTTCATTTTTAAAGATACTCCTTGAGCCAGAGAAGGGTTGAAATGTTTTCTTGAAGGAAGAGTAGAACCATGATAAAGACTATAATCCCAAGAAGGAAACAAAGTACTTCAAAGTTAGAAAACATGATGTAAGAAAACATTGGAAAGTGGGATCATTCATCTGGGACATATCATTAGAGAAAGATAAAATTGAGAGGTGTTCTTTGCCTTAATTGTGCACGAGTAATAAACTAATCGTGTCTGTACATTTCCCAACAGAATTTGGGCCACCAAATATTTTCACGTACATTATCCCATTGATTCTCACAACAACACTGTCAAATAGTAAAGGGATTCTTCTTTTCTTCTCCATGAAGAAACTAGACTGAGAAAGGTTACGTAACTAGCTCAAGATCATAAAGCAAAGCTGAGTTTGAGACCCAGGTGGGTTCCCAAAACTAGGACTGGAGCTCTTTCAACCAAATAATGCTCAATAGGAAAAGGAGTCAAGGACAAGCTCCAACTGGTAAAACAATCTGGATGAGTTAAGAGTTCAAAAGTTGAGAAACAATGTTGTTAAAGGAAACTAAACAGGTTTCTTGGATAAAATGCTAAGTTATAAGAAGCTCTGGCTAAAGAGCAAGAAGATGGATCAGCTGACTTCTCAGACCACTACTATTGTTACTTTTCTAGAATATTTTTATTTACTCTCCTCTTAAAGTCTCCTTTATTTCCTCCTCCTGATATGATTTTTTTTTTAATGACAACTCCAAAAGAAAGGATGAATAAAAAAAAAATTTGGCAACTCTTGGAACCTAAATATAAACCCTGTTGGCATGTTTACACTTCTTTTTGGATATCAGCTGTATAATCCTTTAGCCAGATTCAGTCTCATTCCTAACACAGTTAAGTGTGCTTTGTAAGGGTTTTCTTTGTTAACTTGCCTCACACATATAAAAAAGAAAAACAAATACACAGTCACATTTCCCAACACCTTTCCCCCACCAAAAACACAGTATAGGGTAGCCAGGTACTTTGAAAAAGTATCATTTTAAAACATAACTATTATTGTAAAAATAAAAAATAAACATGACAAATCAGTCACAAGGCAGGGAGGCAGGAAGTCATACTACAACAAAAAGTCTATGGATGAAGTATCTGCTTAATACTCACACACAGAAAACACTCTCAGAAAATGTTTCTTTAATTTAGTTTAACTAAAATTTCATCAAGGTAGAATGCAGTTTTGTAAAAAGTTCCAAGGATCCTATTACACAGTTGCTAATTAACCTTCAGTTCCTTATTTATACATTTTTTACTTACAGATATAAAAGGAAAAAAAATCCTAGAAATTATTTTAAACAGAACATTATACAATTAATTAAAAGTAGGAATTAGAGTGGAACAATGTGGCTTTAGATACTGATAATTAATAGACAGGATGAATCACAAAATATATTAAGTATTATCATTTTCCAGTCTCTGCATCTCATCTTGTCCCATCTGTCCAAGGTGAGACAAAAGTTTGCTATAGGCTTCCCTGTTTAAGAAAAAAGAAAAGAAAGCAAATATATTAACATTTTCATTATTTTTCATTTCAGTATTTACAAATTAAGTCTGCCCATCATCCATCCATCCATCTATTCAGCCATCCATCCAGCAGGCTTAGCACAACACTTCTTAAAAAGTAATGCTTTATATCTATTGTGAGTAAACCTAGATGTTAAGATGTATTAAAGTATGATTTTTATATATAAAATGTGTGCTAAAAATGACATGTAAAAGTTCATTAACCTTCCGAAATATTATAATGCTCACGGGTAATAAAATGCATTCATGGAATATTATTTAAGGACAATGATGGTATGATTACAATGGGAAGACTTGTATCACAAGCGTAAGTATTAAAACAAAAATTCTGTAACCATAAAATAGACCTGTGTAGCAATTTCAGTATATATCCCATTTTCTTCTTTTAACTTCTTATAAGTAACAAAGTTTGAAAATAAAATATTGTTTCTCCTCCTACATTCTCTAGTACTTCCCTGTATTTGGAAGGTGTTTTAGATGATTTATTGTGCCTAGTAGTTATCTCACTAGTCTAAATACCTGTTCTGTTCAGAATCTTTAGAACCAAACTTCTTATGGGCCTGCATAACCACACAAGGTAGTAGGCCAGAATATTTGTTTTAACAACATACTGCATTAGGGTGGTTCACACACAGCCTCTCTAGTTTTTTCACTCAAATTTGAAGACTGCTCAGAGAAGCCAGATGTGAGACATGTCTGTGCATGAGCTTGTTTTGTGACATGACAATAAACACCATTTCTTCAAGCTACAATTTGAAGTGATTCAATCTTCTCTCCTTAGAAAACCACAGGAGGCTAGCCAAGTCACCATGCAGAAGAAAGGAGATGTTCCATTCTGGCATACAAAAGCTTTACAAGGATGATCTCTCCAGTCCGCACCCCCTGCCTTTTATATGAAATGGCATTGAAAAAATGGATTCCATTAGTTAGCTAAAGCTATAATCAACATAGTCATGTCTTCAAGAAAGATCTCATATATTGTTTAATAAAAAATTTTTGTCTAAAAATTGGAATATGCATATTCATTAGAGTGTGTATTTGTACAGATAAACAGACACACATGCATATGATTATAGTCATGCACTACATTAAAAACATTTTGGTCAATGATGGGCTGCATTTTGGTCAATGATGGATCCCATTAAGATTATAATGGTACTGAAAAATTCCTAATGCCTGGTGATGTTGTAGCCATTGTAATGTCTTAGTGTAATGCCTTACTCGTGTTGTTTGTGGTGATGCAGGTATAAACAAACCTATTGTACTGTCAGTCATATAAAAGTCTAGCACACACAACTATACATAGTATATAATACTTGATAATAAGAAAGAATGTTACTGGTTTATGTATTTACTATACTTTACTTTTTATTGTTATTTTAGAGTGTACTCCTCTTTATACTTATAAAAATAAAAGTTAACTGTAAAACAGACTCAGGCAGGTCCTTCAGGAGGTATTCCAGAAGAAGGCTTCCTTATTGCAGGAGACGACAGCTCCATGTGCGTTACTGACCCTGAAGACCTTCCAGTGAAGTAAGATGTAGAGGTGGAAGACAGTGATGTTGATCATCCTGACCCTGTGTAGGCTCAGGCTAATGCGTGTGTGTCTTCATTTTTTACAAAATAGTTTAAAAATAAAAAATAATTTAAAAATAGAAAAAAGCTTATTCAAGAATATAAAGAAAGAAAATATTTTTGTACAGCTATACAATGTGTGTGTTAAGCTTTTTTACAAGAGTAAAAAAGTTAAAAAAAGAAAAAGTTTAAAAGGTAAAAAAGAGTAAGCTAAGGTTAATGTATTATTGAAAAACTAAAAATTTTAGAAATAACTAATGTACTCTAAATGTATTATGTTTATAATGTCTACTACAATAGTGTACAGTAATGGCCTAGGCCTTCACATTTATCACCACTCACTCGCCGACCCACCCAGAGCAACTACTAGTCCTGCAAGCTGCACTCACGGTAAGTGCCCTATATAGGTATACCATTTTAAAATCTTTGCTACCATATAATTACTGTACTATGTTTTCATATATTTAGATACACAAATACTTACCATAAGTTACAACTGTCTATAGTATTCACTACAGTAACATGTTATACAAGTTTGTAGCCTAGGAGCAATAGGCCACACCACATTGCCTAGGTGTGTGGTATAGGCTATTCCATCTAGGTTTGTGTAAATATACTCTATTTGATGTTCACAAATGATGAAATCGCCTAACTACACATTTCTTAGAACTTATCCCTGTCGTTAAGCAACACATAACTGTATTTTGATTCTTTAATAACCTTTAGGACACAAAAATTCCACTGTGAGTACTGACTACTCTAAAACAATTTCTTTAAGAAATAAATATAGGCTTATTCCCACAATGTTGAGACTCTAAATAGTCCAGCACTATTTTCAGTTGAGTTATGAGCCTATTAAAAAAAAGTCTTATTTCCTATTTTTGACCAAAACCTATACTGTCTAATTGGGTCACTTATTCACTAGATACACATGATACAGTTGACTAAATAAATCAAGCATCCCTCAAACGGTTATGATTTGCCACCATAAATTTTATTAAAAAACAAGACATCCAAGGCTATGAAGTCCACTTCCCAATGAGGAACACTGAAATGCGTTTTGAGCAACAGCAGCACTGCTGAAATATACAGCTTTCTAAAGCGGTCACTTTGAAAGGAAAAACATGCAAATTTATGTATTGATTTTGCTAAGTTTGCTGATGAGCCATGCTACTTCTATTCACACTTTGTAAAACTGATAATCACAGTACTGAAACATTTTTCATCTCAAAAGAACATACCCAAATTTTGGGGAATAAGAAAATAAATCATTTCTATAAAATGAAATATAAATTTTATAATCACTGCCCCCCCCAATGTAATTAAATTATCAAACATACCTTTGTGCTATATTCCTGCCAAGGCCCCATTTCTGCTCTGAATCCTTCAGAGACTGAGTAAGGGTAGAAATCAAGTGGATGACAACCTGCTGGTCCAATGTTGCTACTGTTTCTAAAATGCTGTAAACCTGGTAATAGTACCTCATACCATAATCCTGGATAAACTGCCTGAAAGTAAAACAGGTTTATTTAGGATTACTCCTGGGGCAATTCCTTGTGTTGGTATCTACGTGGCAATCAACTATGAACTGAACATAACAAAGATCATTTCATAAAAGTTTACTGTAAGAATCTGGATGCAATATGAAAACTATTTAAAACACTTTAAAATAAAGAATTGAAGTGGCTTATTTAAGTTGAGCCATGACCAGAGTGAAAGCACTGTGGGGAGGAGCAGGGAAGGGAAGAGTTGGAAGCTTGGGAGGGAGAAGAAGGGGTAAAAATCTAATCCCGGGACTTTTTTGCAATATTCTACATATTGAATCTGAGTGGAAAGGATATGGGAGACAGTAACAGAAAAAAGTCAGATTTCCTAGTTATTTTTTAGTTCTTTGTAGCTCTATATAAGTCAAACAATATTTTTATGAGGAAAGCAAGTTATTCCTAATATATTTTATGTTCCTTAACTGAATAAAAGACTTTAGACCCATAGAAGGTCTTTATAAATAAAAATTCTATATTTAGCCTTAAAACCTCTACCCTCCACTACCAATCAACAAAATGAAAAGCCACCTCGCTTAGTAAATTATAGATAACATTCAATCTTTGATCATAGAAAATCCTTTTCTCCCCTCCTAGGGCTTCACAATTTTCACAAATCCATTGTTACTGACTGATCACAATTTAAATAAACTATAAACACTTGACAGGCACTAATTATGTGATGAGAAAAATGGAGGTATCAAAGATCCAACATAGAATGAAGGAAACGAACGCAAATTATTTCTCATGGTAGTGGTAAGGCAGAGATAGGAATAATAAAGGTGAACTGGAAGAAATCTTCAGAAAGAAATACAAAAACGTATTGCCCTAACAGCACAAGACTCTAAAGGGAACAAGACAGGGAAGAAAAAGAAAATATGCCTCAAGTTGCACTGTTATTCTTATGAACAATAGATCTACTTCTATAAAGTCCATGCTTCACAAATTAAACATAACGGAGCTTTCTGAAGCTACAGTTAGTATACTAAAGCAAGTCAGAAAAGCAGTGACATGTACTTCTACAATGGATCCAGCGGAACATGTTTAGCAAGGTCTGAAGGCCTGTGTACCTGTCATCATGACTCACATTTCCCACTTTACTCTCTCAAACCCAGTCTAGGACCACGTAATGACATTTCAGTCAATGACAGATAGCATGTACAATGGTAGTTCAGTACAATAAGATTAAAATACTGCATTTTTACTGTACCTTTTCTATGTTTGGATACATTTAGATACACAAATATTTACCACTGTGTTACAACTGCCTACAGCATTCAGTGCAGAGACATGTTATACTGATTTGCAGCCTAGGACCATTAGGCCATACCATATAGCTTAGGTGCAGAGTGGGCTATAGCACCTAGGTTTGTATAAGTACACTCTATTTGATGGTCACACAATGGTGAAACTGGCTAACTATACATTTCTCAGAACTTATCCCTATCGTTAAGAGACACATGACTGTTCATGCAAGATTCTTCCTCACTAAATTCACAGGTAATTTTAAGTCCCCTCACTTATCTTTTTCACTGGCACTTTTATTTTTCAATAAAACATCACAGTGTAACAAAACTACTGCCAAAAATACAATAATTGAAATACTATAAACAAGTAGTAACACATTATGTTTTGGATAATTAGTTATTTAAAAAACATGTTGGCTGTCAAATGGCTGGCAATAGTTTCCTTGCCAGGTGGCATATTTTCCAGTTACCTAAACACAGAAGTCAGCTGGGAGGAAGGTTCTTCTTCTGACCCCACTTGGCAGGCTTTTACCATGTATTGCAGGTTCTCTGTGGCCAGCCTTTTAACTAGAAGGAAAAATTACAGCATTAGGCACTGTGTCTGAATTGACCATCTGGATCCTCATTTTTATGAACACTCTTGATTTAGAAAAATATGTTGTTTTCTTAAAGTATGTACATCCTTTTTCTATTTTTCAAAATGAAATAGTTCTAAGTTTTTGTTTTATTCTAAAGTATACCTATCTTCCATTTTAAGAAAATATAAAAGTTTAAAAGTCTACTTTTTAGTCTGAAATAATACATGAAGACCTATTTTTCTCTTAGAAAGGTGCCCATATTCAAAAAAGTTACACCATCCTAATCCTACAAACAGTAACATACCGACAAAAGAAAGCCTTTACAAATTCAGCTGATTTACAGACAGGCAGATTGATTTTTTAAAAATTCATAAGCATATTCCTCCCACCCCCTCACAAACATGTAAGTAGCAAACTAGATACCGTGAACAATTTCTTTTCACTTAAAATTAGCCAAATATGTATGCAAAATGTTGTTTGTGATGCTATCTTCCTTTCAAAGGATAATAAAGTATAAAAAGAATACTTACATTCTTTAAATATTTAACTAAATCCTTTAAAATTGTGTGCTTGTACACAAAAATAATGCAAAAATACCAAGAAAGGATGTAGAAAACCCAATATGTTCTGAATGCTACTAAATTCTTATGTTGTTTTTGACACATTAAATATAAGAAACCAGAGAAAAAAGTGCTTTTTCCAAGAATAAAAAAAAGTTCAGAAACTGTAACCCTAAATTATAGCAGGAGCACAAAATATATGATGAACATGAACATAATGAATATTAGGTAGTAGAGAATGTTTTCCATGCGATGAGGCTCGTGGCTAAGGAACACACAGCATCCTTGCCTTTTACTTGAAAACTTTTTACAACTTTTTAAAATAACTTCTCATTTTAGATGCAGTTTCTTTTTTCTTTAACTGAACTACCTTTTTTTTTTTAAAAAAAATGAGTATTTTCTTTTTTTTTTTTTTAAGAGGCAGAGTCTTGCTCTGTCACCCAGGCTAGAGAAGTGGTGTGATGATAGCTCACTCTAACTTCCATCTCCTGGGCTCAAGCCATCCTCCCACCTCAGCCTCTCAAGTAGCTAGGACTACAGGTGCATGCCAGCATGCCTGGCTAATTTTTTAAAAAAGCTTTTTGTAGAGATGGAGGTCTCGCTATGTTGCCCAGGCTGGCCTCGAACTCCTAGTCTCAAGTGATCCTCCCACCTTGGCGTCCCAAAGCACTGGGATTACATGTGTGAGCCACCACACCTGGCCTTTTTATTTCTTAAAAGAAGAGCTTTATTGTCATATAATTCACATACTATATAGTTTACCCATTTAAAGTATACTGTTCGATGGCTTTTAGTATATTCAGAGTTGTACAACCATCATCACAATTTTACAATATTTTCAATATCTTGAAAAGAAATTCCACACTCTTTAGCTATCCCGATTCCTTCTAAGCAATCCCTTAACCTACTTTCTGTCTCTACAGATCTTTTTTTTTTTTTTTTTTTTTTTTTGAGACGGACTCTCCCTCTGTTGCCCAGGCTGGAGTGCAGTGGCATGATCTCAGCTCATTGCAACCTCTGCCTCCCGGGTTCAAGCAATTCTCCTGCCTCAGCCTCCCGAGTAACTGGGATTACAAGTGCATGCCACCACGCCCGGCTAATTTTGTATTTTTAGAAAAGATGTGGTTTCACCGTATTGGCCAGGCAGGTCTCGAAATCCTGACCTCAAGTGATTCACCTGCCTCAGCCTCCCAAATTGCAGGAATTACAGGCGTAAGCCACCATGCCTAGACCTGTCTCTATAGATTTAACTATTCTGGATATTTCAAATAAATGAAATAATATGTGACTTTTGTGACTGGCTTCTTTCACTGAGAATAATGTTTTCAAGATTCATCAATGTTATAGCATGTTTCAGTACTTCATGCTTTTTTATAGCCAAACAATATTCCATTGTATAAATATATCAAAATTTTTAAATTGATCCATCAAACGATGAGTATTCTACTTTTTGGCTATAATAAACAATACTGCTATAAAAATTAATTTACAAGTTTCTGTGTGGACATATTTGTTCATTTCTCTTAAATATATATATATATCTAGGGGTGAAATTGCTGGGTCATACAGTAACTCCATATTTAACCGCTTGAGGAACTACTGGACTATTATCCAAAGTAGCAACATGATTTTACATTCCCAATGGCATTAAATGAGAGTTCCAATTTCTCCACATCTTCCCCAATCTTTTTCATTATCTGACTCCCTCATTATAGCCAACCTTGTGGGTATGAAGTGATATCTCGGGGTAGTTTTGATATGCATTTCCCTGGTGACTAATGATGTTGAACACCTTTTCTGGTGCTTATTGGCCGTTTATTTTCTTTGTAGAAATGCCTATTCAGATTCATTGCCAATTTTTAAATTCAGTTATTTGTCCACTTATTCTTAAGAGTTATTTATATATTATAGATGCACACTCCTTATCACATATAATTTACAAGTATTTTTTCCCATTTTGTGGGTTGTCTTTTCACTTTCTTAACAGTGTCCTTTGAAACACAAAAGCTCCTAATTCTTGATGAAGTCCAATTTATCTCTTCTGTGGTTCATGCTTTTAGTGCCATAGCTAAGAATCTGTTGCCAAATTCGAGGTCATGAAGATTTTTTTCCTATATTTTCTTCAATGACTTTTACAATTTTAGCTCTGACACTTAGGTCTATGGTTCATTTTAGGTTAGTTTTCGTATGTGGTAGGAAACAAGGGTCCAACTTCATTCTTTCGCATGTGGCTATCTGACCTAGCAAAATTTGTTGAAAAGACTACTTTTCCCCAATTAAATTGTCTTGGCACTCTTGTCAACAAACAAAAAAACCCCAGTTGACCATAAACATGGGTTTATCTCTGAACGCTTAATTCTATTCTATTGACCTACATATCTATCTTTATGCCACTATCACACTGTCTTGATTACTGTTGCTTTGTAACATGTTTTGAAATCAAGAAGTATGCGTTTTCCAGCTTTCTTCTTCTTTTTCCAAGATTGATTTGGCTATTCTGGGTCCCCTGTAATTCCATATAAATTAGTAATTCATATGGAGCTATTAGTATAGTCACTTAAGCTTTCTGTGGTTGCTGTTTGCACAACTATCTTTTCCCATCCTTTTACTTTCAATCTATTTATATCTGTGAATCTATAGTGTTTCCTGTAAATACCATATGGGTAGATCTTGTTTTTTTAAGAATCCATTGTGATCATCTCTGCCTTTTCATTGGACTGGTCAATCCTTTCACATGGTATTATTACTGATATAGTTTGATTTACATCAGCAATTTTACTTTTTGTTTTCTTAATGACTCGTGTTTGTTTCTTTAATCTCCTTTACTGTTTTCTTACTACATTAAGTGAATATTTTTTAACGTAGTCTTCCAAATTTTTAAATTGTTATTATTACTATAAGTTCTGGGGTACATGTGCACAACGTGCAGGTTTGTTACATATGTATACATGTGCCATGTTGGTTTGCTGCACCCATTAACTTGTCATTTACATTAGGCATTTCTCCTAATGCTCTCCCTCCCCCAGTCCCCCACCTCCTGACAGGCCCCGGTGTGTGATGTTCCCCTCCCTGTGTCCATGTGTACTCATTGTTCAACTCCCACTTATAAGTGAGAACACGCGGTGTTTGGTTTTCTCTTCTTGTGTTAGTTTGCTGAGAATGATGGTTTCCAGTTTCACCCACGTCCCTGCAAAGGACATGAACTCATCCTTTTTTATGGCTGCATAGTATTCCATGGTGTATATATGTCACATTTTCTTTATTCAGTCTATCATTGATGGGCATTTGGGTTGGTTCCAAGTATTGATGACTTCACAATAGACTTCGCTATTGTAAACAGTACTGCAATAAACATATGTGTACATGTGTCTTTTTAGTAGAATGATTTATAATCCTTTGGGTATATACCCAGTAATGAGATTGTTGCATCAAATGGTATTTCTAGTTCTAGATCCTTGAGGAATTGCCACACTGTCTTCCACAATGGTTGAACTAATTCACACTCCCAACAGTGTGAAAGTGTTCCTATTTCTCCACATCCTCTCCAGCATCTGTTGTTTCCTGACTTTTTAATGATCACCATTCTAACTGGTGTGAGATGGTATCTCATTGTGGTTTTGATTTGCATTTCTCTAATGACCAGTGATGATGAGCATTTTTTCGTAAGTTTTTTGGCTGCATAAATGTCTTCTTTTGAGAAGTGTCTGTTCATATCCTTCGCCCATTTTTTGACGGGGTTGTTTGTTTCTTGTAAATTTGTTTAAGTTCTTTGTAGATTCTGGATATTAGCCCTTTGCCAGATGGATTGCAAAAATTTTCTCTCATTCTGTAGGTTGCCTGTTCACTCTGCTGATAGTTTCTTTTGCTATGCAGAAGCTCTTTAATTAGATCCCATTTATATATTTGGCTTTTGTTGCCGTTGCTTTTGGTGTTTTAGTCATGAAGTCTTTGCCCATCCCCATGTCCTGAATGATACTGCCTAGATTTTATTCTAGGGTTTTTATGGTTTTAGGTCTTACGTTTAAGTCTTTAATCCATCTTGAGTTAATTTTTGTGTAAGGTGTAAGGAATGGATCCAGTTTCAGTTTTCTGAATATGGCTAGCCAGTTTTCCCAGCACCATTTATTCAATAGGGAATCCTTTCCCCATTGCTTGTGTCAGGTTTGTCAAAGATCAGATGGTTGTAGATGTGTGATGTTATTTCTGAGGCCTCTGCTCTGTTCCATTGGTCTGGACATCTGTGTTGGTACCAGTACCATGCTGTTTTGATTACTGTAGCCTTCTAGTATCGTTTGAAGTCAGGTAGCGTGACAAAGTAGCCTCCTGCTTTGTTCTTTTTGCTTAGGATTATCTCGGCTATGCACACTTTTTTTTGGTTCCATATGAAATTTAAAATAGTTTTTTTTCCAGTTCTGTGAAGAAAGTCAGTGGTAGCTTGATGGGAATAGCATTGAATCTATACTTTGGGGAGTATGGCCATTTTCACGATATTGATTCCTCCTATCCATGAGTATGGAATGTTCTTCCATTTGTTTGTGTCCTCTTTTATTTTATTTTGTTGAGCAGTGGTTTGTAGTTCTCCTTGAAGAGGTCCTTCACATCCCGTGTAAGTTAGATGCCTAGGTATTTTATTCCCTCTGTAGCAATTGTGAATGGGAGTTCACTCATGATTTGTCTCTCTGTCTGTTATTGGTGTATAGGAATGCTTGTGATTTCTGCACACTGATTTTGTATCCTGAGACTTTGCTGAAGTGGCTTATCAGCTTAAGGAGATTTTGGACTGAGACGATGGGGTTTCCTAAATATACAATCATGTCATCTGCAAACAAAGACAATTTGACTTCCTCTTTTCCTAACTGAATACGCTTTATGGCTTTCTCTTGCCTGACTGTCCTGGCCAGAACTTCCAACACTATGTTGAAGAGGAGTGATGAGAGAGGGTATCCTTGTCTTATGCCAGTTTTCAAAGGGAATGTTTCCAGTTTTTGTCCATTCAGTACGATATTGGCTGTGGGTCTGTCATAAACAGCTCTTATTATTTTGAGACACGTTCCATCAATACCTAGTTTATTGAGAGTTGTTAGCATGAAGTACTGTTGAATTTTGTTAAAGGCCTTTTCTGCATCTATTGAGATAATCATGTGGTTTTTGTCATTGGTTCTGTTTATGTGATGGATTATGTTTATTGATTTGCATATGTTGAACCAGCCTTGCATCCCAGGGATGAAGCCGACTTGATCGTGGTGGATAAGCTTTTTGATGTGCTGCTGGCTTCGGTTTGCCAGTATTTTATTGAGGATTTTTGCATTGATGTTCATCAGGGATATTGATCTAAAATTTTTTTTTGTTGTTGTGTCTCTGCCAGGTTTTAGTATCAGGATGATGCTGGCTTCATAAAATGAATTAGGGAGGATTCCCTCTTTTTCTATTGATTGGAATAGTTTCACAAGGAATGTTTCCAGCTCCTCCTTGTAACTCTGGTAGAAATCAGTTGTGAATCTGTCTGGTCCTAGGCTTTTTTTGGTTGGTAGGCTATTAATTACTGCCTCAATTTCAATACCTGTTATTGGTCTATTCAGATGTTCGACTTCTTCCTGGTTTAGTCTTGGGAGGATGTATGTGTCTAGGAATTTATCCATTTCTTCTAGATTTTTTAGTTTATTTGTGTAGAGTTCTTTATAGTACTCTCCGATGGTAGTTTGTATTTCTGTGGGATCGGTGGTGATAACCCCTTTATCATTTTTTATTGCATCTATTTGATTCTTCTCTCTTTTCTTCTTAATTAGTCTAGCTAGTGGTCTATTTCGTTGATCTTTTCAAAAAACCAGCTCCTGGATTCACTGATTTTTTTGAAGGTTTTTTTGTGTCTCTATCTCCTTTAGTTCTGCTCTTAGTTATTTCTTGTCTTCTGCTAGCTTTTGAATTTGTTTGCTCTTGCTTCTCTAGTTATTTTAATTGTGATGTTAGGGTGTCAATTTTAGATCTTTCTGCTTTCTCTTGTGGGCATTTAGTGCTATAAATTTCCCTCTACACACTGCTTTAAATGTGTCCCAGAGATTCTGGTACGTTATATCTTTGTTCTCACTGGTTTCAAAGAACATCTTTACTTCTGGCTTCATTTTGTTATTTATCCAGTAGTCACTCGGGAGCAGCTTGTTCAGTTTCCATGTAGTTGTGCGGTTTTGAGTGAGTTTCTTAATCCTGAGTTCCAACTGGACTGCACTGTGGTCTGAGAGATAGTTTGTTGTGATTTCTGTTCTTTTACATTTGCTGAGGAGTGTTTTACTTCCAATTATGTGGTCATTTTTAGAATAAGTGCGATGTGGTGCTGACAAGAATGTATATTCTGTTGATCTGGGGTGGAGAGTTCTGTAGATGTCTATTAGGTCTGCTTGGTCCAGAGCTGAGTTCAAGTTCTGGATATCCTTGCTAATTTTCTATCTCATTGATCTAATATTGACAGTGGGGTGTTAAAGTCTCCCACTATTATTGTGTGGGAGTGTAAGTCTCTTTGTAGGTCTCTAAGAACTTGCTTTATAAATCTGGGTGCTCCTGTATTGGGTGCATATACATTTAGGACAGTTAGCTCTTCTTGTTGCATTGATCCCTTTACCATTATGTAATGGCCTTGTCTCTTTTGATCTTTGTTGGTTTAAAGTCTGTTTTATCAGAGACTAGGACTGCAACCCCTGATTTTTTTTTTTTTGCTTTCCATTTGCTTGGTAAATCTTCCTTAATCCCTTTATTTTGAGCCTTTGCACATTGAGATGGGTCTCTTGAATACTGCACATTGATAAATCTTGACTCTTTATCCAATTTGCCAGCCTGTGTCTTTTAATCGGGGCATTTAGCCCATTTAATTATTAATTATTTTTGAACTATTTCCTTTGTGGTCACTCTAAGCTAACCATATATACCTTAACTTATCAGAGCTTCAAATTTATACTAATTCTAGTGAAATACAGAAACATAAATCCTATGCACTATATAGCTCTATTTATTTCTCTCCCTTTTTGTGGTATTGTTATACTTATTATATAATATCTACAAATGTTAAAACTTAAAAGTATACTGTTGTAATTTTTACTTTATATAAATTTATGTCTTTCAAAGAAGCTAAGAAAAGAGAGAACAGCAAATACATATCTTAACTTCTGCTATATAGGTCCAGCATTCCAAAGATCCAAAATTCCAAATGCTTCCAAATCTGAAAGTATTTGAGCTGACCTGATGCCATAAGTGGAAAATTCCACACCTGACTTCATGTGACAAGTTGCATATACTATTTATAAATATTGTAAAAAATTACCTTCAGGCTACATGTTTAAGGTATATATGAAACATAAATGAATTTCATGTTTAGACTTGAGTCCTGCTGCTAAGATACCTCATAATAAATATGCAAATATTCAAAAATCCAAAAGAATCTGATATATAAAACACTTCTGTTCCCAAGCATTTTGGATACGGAATACTCATCCTATATTAACCTTCTTATTTATCATTTCTGTTTTTTTTTTTTTTTTTTTTCATTTATTCCCAGGTATTTGAGTTGCCATGTGGAGTCCTTTCCTTAGCCTAATACTGTTTTCTCTCACCACCTCCTTTTTATTGTTATTGATAAAATACTATATTTCTATAAGTTATAGGCCCAACAATATTATTTTATACAAATGCTTTTTAAAAACCAGTTAAGATAATAAAGATGAAAAAATGTGAATTTATACTGTCTTAATAATTATATGATAATCTTTACTAGAATTCTTTTGTGTGTTATGTGGATCCAAATTACTGCCTGGGGTCAGTCTCAGTCTGAAAAACTTCCTTTAGCATTTTGTTAAAAGGTGGGTCTGTTAGCAACAAATTCTCTCAGTTTTAATTTATTTGAGAAGGTCTGTTTCATCTTCAGTTTTGAAAGGTAGCTTTGCTGAAAAAAGATTCTTGGTTGACAGGTCCCCCTCTACACTCCTGCTTTAATTCCTGTGAATGCTATCCCACTGTCTCTGGCCCCCAGTTTCCTCTGAGAAGTCAGCTGTTAATCTTACTGGGGTTTCTTGTAGAGGATGAGTCATTTTTCTCTGGCTACTTCCAAGATTTTCTTTGCCTTTAGCTTTTGGCATCTTTACTATAATGTATCTGTTTGTGGATCTTTTTGCATTTACCTTACCTGGAGTTAGTGGAACTTCCTGAATGTATAAGTTAATATTCTTGAATAAACTTGAAAAAATTTTAGAAATTATATTTTATTTTCAATTTTTTTGGCTTTCTCTCTTCTTCTGGTTCACCTGTTGTATATATGGTGCACTTAATGGTGTTCCACATTTCTCAACAGCTCTGTTCATTTTCTTCATTTTTTTGTCCTCTGTGCTTTAGATTGTATGATCTGTATTGATCTATTTTCAAGTTTGCTAATTCTTTCTTCTGCCAGTTCTAATCCACTAATGGGCCCCTCTGGTGAAATTTTCAACTCAGCAAAATTTCCATTTGGTTCTTTTCATAAAATTTCTTTCCCTATTGCCACCATACTTTCGTTTTCTTCATTTATCACACATTCCTTTAGTTCTATATTTATAATAGTTACTTTGAAGTCTTTGTCTGTTAAAGACAATATCTGACTGCTCTCACTGGCAGTTCCTGTGGCCTGCTTTTATTCTCAGTATATGGATTGTATGTGTCTGTTTCTTTGCATGTCCTGTAATTTTTTGGTGAAAATTGGGCTTTTTAAATAATGAAGTCCACTCCTCCTCTTGCCCTCTCACTGCCTTAGATATTGCTTCTGAGGTGATGTAACCTCAGGTACGCCCACAGTCTCCATGTGAAGACAATGGTTTTGGCAGGACTCTCTTTGACTGTCCCTTTCCCTGATCACACTCAGCTGTTAAGCTCCACTAATTAATTTCTGGGTGATTGTTTTAATGTTTTTAGTAATACACTGGGGCATAAATTGCTTTAAGGACTAATCTAATCAAATTCAGGCTCCTTTGAGGTCAGTGCTTGAGATTTATTCTGACCTAAGAGCTCTATCCCAAAGTGCTGGGATTACAGGTGTGAGCCATTATGCCAGGCCAATAAATGTTATTTTAAAGCAATCACTGGAAGTAAGGCTGATGAGACTGAAAACAAAAGGAGTAGAATCAAAGGACCCCTACCGGTTTGCCTCAAAAATCAGCTTAGATATTCCAGCAAAAACCTGAATAAAAAAAGTATGATGACCTCTCATTACTTGATATTTAACAAATTGCCTTTAATACTGAAGTCAAATTGAACAAATATTCTTTGAGAGGTTAACAAATCTAATCAAGGGAAGTAACCCTTAAATAAACTATTTGCCTCAAGGGGAGAAAAAAAGCCAAAACTAAAATGGACCAAAACATCTCAGTTTTTAACCATTTTATCATACCTAATCTGAGCTGCTAGCTGGAGTTTATTCTTTAACCATGACCCATATCAAGAGATATAAAAGAATCACATATATTTTGTAACTATCCATTAAATTGAGGGGAAACAGTAGTTTCTTAACTTGTAAAAAGAAAATGGTAACAAAAATAAGCTTACAAACAAACCTTGTGGTTCACTGACTAACACCAAGCATTTTAAAATGCCAGGGAGGAGTAGTTCAACTTCATAAATGTCTGTGTTAGTTTCCTTGAAGAGTTGGAGGATGAAGGCCAGAATGGATGCTAAGCGAGGAGGAGGTGAGGACCCCTTATACTCAAGGTAGGATTTCCTGAAAAGAAGCAAAATTTGTTTATTCTCTGCTTAAAGCTTCAATAGAGCAAGACCAAATGGCATATAATTTAAAGATATTGGCAAAATTTACCCCCCAAATTAATACAGTGCCACTTGTATAAAGTATGTATATTTTACCATGCTATCTTCAAACATAGGATTTTAGAAGCAATGACTGACTGTATATCTTTCTGGTGTGTTCTGAGGGCCAAAGCACAATATAGTCACAAACTAAATTGAAAGCAACCTTGTTTTAAAATGAACTCAAAATCCAAATGAAAGCCTAACTGTTAATTTGCAGGTTTTTTTTTTCCCTTTCTAATACAAGTCTGATCTCCTCCATTGGGTCCTCAATGCCGCAACATTTTCTCTAATGTCAAATTTGCATAAAGAAATCTCTCTTCATATCTATTTATTTAAGGACTTGGAAGGAGTCTTATTTTTCCAAACAAACAGAGGACTGTCCTAGGAATAAGATAGGACACTCAAGCTTTATCTCCTTCCTTCCTCCAGCAAGTTAAAGACTCAGAGAACTAATTTAGGATTTAGCATTATCTCTCAAGACAAGACAAAATTTAGTACTAGAACTCAAGAGCGATCATAAGGATAATAATTTGACTCATCTTTGTATATTCTCACCTCTTAGAACAGGTCCGGGCCCATAACAAGTGTTCAGTATACATTTATTAAGTGAATAAATAAAAGTTGGAATTGCTTAGTTTCTACAAATGTCTAGACAATGTGAAAATCTGTCAAATACAGCTAAATATAAACTAGACATCCATATATATATATATTTGCAAAGTAATAATAACCATAAGGAAGAGAAACCACTAAGTATTATAAACATAAGGACAGGAACTATGTCTTAGTAATTATTTCTATTCCCTACAGTGACTTCCAACAAATACTACATATTAGAAAATTCATTCTTTGAGGTTTTGTCCAATTTTGTTTACTGCTGAATTCCTAATGCCTAGAACAAACATATATTGGGCGCCAGTGGAATGCCAGGTACATGTCTAAGAACAAGAATATAAAATTGAATAAAATATGGTCTCTGAAAGCAAGAGGCCCACCATGGAGTGGAGAAGTTAAATGAGAAAAAGAAAAAGACAATTATAATATAGCATAATGGTGCTTTTGACAAAGATAAGCACAGAATTCTCAGGAATTCAGAGAAAAGAGCCCTAACTCAGATGAGGGAGTGCAGGAATAGAGAAGCATGGCATGGAAGAAGTCATAGAAGACAATCTCTATATCTTTCCTGAGTATTAAAAAAAAAGCCTTCAACTATAAACCACAAGAAAAACATTTTCACTGTGTGTTAAGTAAATAGGAAAGTCAACTAATTCTGGGATCCTAAACACTGGGGTTTTAAACAGTTTTACAGATTCAATTTCACTTCAGCATCTGTCATTTAGTTTGTACTATAATTACTTATGCAATATCTCAAACACTGTGTTAGGTTACTACAATCCTGTTGGAAATTCAGATACAAGTAAGGCAAAACTATCATAATTCTGCAAATTGAGCTGTACAGGGCATATGATTTCAAAAAAGGAAACATACATGGTACACTGACATATCAGGTGTAGGTTTTATAAAGGATACGTGGGATTTAGCCCAAAAAAATGACATTTTAATGGAGAAAGCAATTTGAATAAAGCTGTGACATAGGGAGGTATGAGGCATTTTGGAGGGGCAATATGAATCTTATTAGGGGTTGTATGACACCATATGTAATACATTTGGAAACGGTAAGTGATGGATTGCAGAGAGCTAAGGAGCATGAAATTTATTTCATGGACAAAAAAGATATTGCAGGTTTAATGGCAGGGAAGTTTCATAATGAAAGAGTATTTTAGGAAAAGTAATCTGGGGGCATTGTTTAGGGTGGACTAGAAGAAAAGACTAGAGATGCAGAAAGCAGTCAGGAGATTCTGACAATAGTCTAGGTATAATGCACTAAGGGAAGAGAAATAGGAAAAGGAGGACAGGATTGCCAAAGGATGGGCAAGGAAAGGAAGCAAAGAAGATAAAGCTTCCAAACCTGAGTAACAGGACACTAAGAACTCAAAAAGGTGAGAGGGGAGACAGATTTTAGGCATGGAATTCTATGAGAGGTAACAGATATTATTGGGTCATTAAAAAACACAGAAAACTAATACTAGATAAGAATAACATACATCACCATAGCATCTTAAAGTTTAAAAGCTAATTTCATATAAAAATAAATAATACATGAAGGCAATGACAAAACATTTTTTATTACTGAACTTTCTAATGTTAAAGTTAAAGGATATAGACTTAGTAGAATATTTAAGAAGTTTTGTTTTTCATTTGCTTAATAAAACTGAGTTAAGACTAAACTAACAAGACTTCAGGGTGCTTCATTTCCAATATTAGCATTCATTTTTTCACTTAATTATCTTTATAAAATATAATTACTGTATTTTATTTTTTTGAGATGGTGTCTCGCTCTGTCACCCAGGCTATAGTACAGTGGCACAATGTCAGCTTACTGCAACCTCTGCCTCCCAGATTCAAGCAATTCTCCTGCCTCAGCCTCCTGAGTAGCTGGGATTAGAGCCATCCGCTACCATGTCCAACTAATTTTTTTGTATTTTTAGTACAGACTGGGTTTCACCATGATGGCCAGGCTGGTCTCGAACTCCTGACCTCTAGTAATCCACCCACCTCTGCCTCCCAAAGGGCTGGGATTATAGGTGTGAGCCACCACACCCAGCCAAATATAATTACTGTGTTTTATACAGTATAAAATACAAATATTGTTTATCTGATGAAAAACTAAAAAGCAAAAATATACCTTTAGGACATATATAAGGAAGGTAATAGCTACATAGAGAAAAGAGAAGGAATTTAAAGAGCATTGTCTTAGGCTGCCATAAGCAAATGTCATTTTAATAAAATCTTAGATAATGCTTCTCAGGAAAACAAAAAGCTTCTGAACTACTAGTATCCTAAGGGTTGCCAATATGTTTGAAATGCCACTTTATCACTTTAATAGAGCTTAATAATTTGTACATACCACCTATATTTAATATTTAGATGTACCTTATGACTTGCACAATGCATTTCTTTAGAGATGATATTGGTGGAATAGTGGCTGTGTTTCTCAATGCCAGCAAAACAGGATGTTGTCCAAGATCTGAAACATATGGTGAAGCTGGAAGAAATCGCCCAATATACTGCTCAATAACATTCCCTAGCAATTGATTCAAATAGGCATTCGGATTTTGAGATTGACAACACACGATACACATGCCCTACAAGGAAAAAAAGTAAGAAATACTAAGAGGTAAAGTTTCAAAGAACAAACAATATTTAGAAACTCACTAATGAAGTCCCCAGCATTAATAATCATGTGAGAATATAAAAATCAAAAAGGATACCTCACGTAATCCACAGATAATGTACATACGAATTACAAGGAGTTAAGCCTGGGCAATACATATGATATGGCATCTAACTAAGCATGTGTGTCTGAGGTGTGGACAAAGGAAGCAGGGGAGAACAGTAGGAAGACAAAGGCAGATTCTTTTCCTGTAATCATCAGAACACTTGAACATCTTGCTCATCAACTACATTTATGTGTACTTACAAAGTTATAAAACACCTTTAGGTCATTTTTTTCTAGGTACTGGTTATTTTGTCTAAGACTATACAATTTTTGCTAAAAGTCTTCCATGCTAAAAATCTGATAATCTTTTTTAAAGTAATAACAAAGGGCGAGGAATATGGAAATTAAGACTCGGAATAACAATTTACTTAGTTTTCCTATAACAGGCACTGTGCTGTGTGCTTTATATTCACTATTTCATTTAAATTTCTCAAAGAACCACTGAGTTAGTAATATTGTATCTCCATTTTACAGCTAGGATAACTAAGGTTTAGAAAAGTGAAGAGTTTAATACAGTCACACAGAACTCTTGATATCTGGTTGCATGTCTGTTTATTTAATCTCTTACATTTGTATAGCAGTTAACAAAATACTTTCATATATATTACAGTATTTAATACTTAAACCAATACTCTGAGAGAAAATAATGTTTTCTGCTAGTATTAGTAAATATTAAATGCTACTAAATATAGATAATCACCAACACAGCAATACATTATATTATAAAAGTTAACTCTTAATTTGGTACTTGGTGACTCACAACGTATTTTCCAAGAGAAATAATTTAAAATGTTTGAAGTCTCCATTTTAGTTGTAAACGGGTACTTACCCAATAAGAAATTCTGAAAGTTTATTTGTAATGAAAAATAGCATACAGCTGTTAAAACTGTACCAAATAAACAACTGAAAAAAATCAAACAATGAACCCCTCCCCCAACCCACCCGCCACCACCAACTCTGTTTCTTGAGTAGTTTAAGGAAAAGCACATTAAATCAGAAGAAGATGAAGTAATAAATGAATATTTTCTGAAAATTCCGAAGAGGAGAGCTGGGTACCATGAAGAAATTAAAGACATAGCTCCAGTTCTACCAAACAGATAATACACCAAACTTTTAAATTTACCACTTACGAAGCTTAAGAGAATTCTTATTAAATGGACTGTTTGGGTTTAAGAGGACCACATGGAAGAAATATTCCAGACTCTCCTGCTGCTCACCACTCCCCTCTATTCATCTCTCCCTCTGTGGGATTGGCGGTTCAGGCTGTGGTGTGGCTGCCTCCCCTTTTTGTCATTCTGCTAGATTAACACACTAAACTTCATTTTAAATGCTATTATGAATAAAAATTAGAGGGAAAATTTAAAACTTCTCAGGAATCTTAAAACTCTGTTAAGAAATACATCTTTGAAAAAAGATTGTTACATAATCAAAATCCATTTTCCCTTTCCTCCTCAGCTTCCCTTGTTGGACCTCAAATTAAGAAGCACTTATCTTTAACATCAGACACTAATGAATAATAAAGTACACCTCCAGTCTCATCCTTTCCTGAATGGCAGATCAATATTTCCAACTGCCTACCTCAAACTAAAGCTGCTCAGAAACCAATCCTTACCTTCATCCCGACATCTCCAGGATTTCCCACGTTAGTAAGTAGAACTACTATCTACGCAGATAGCCACTCTGGAATCTAGGAAGCATTTCACTTCTTTGAGTTCCTCCACAACACTCAATTAGCAAGTACTCTTAATCACAGCTCCCAAATGTTTTTGAAATCTGCTGTTATGGGTTTTATTCCCACTGCCTTAGGTCAAAACCTTCTGACAATATGTGGATTATTACAAGGAACTAGTTACCACTGCTTTCCAAAACCTCCACACCAATTATCTTACATATGACCACCAGAATCATCTTTCTAAAATGTAAATATCATTATGTCACTTCTACTTCTCTGCTCCAAATTCATCAGGTCCCCATGTAAAAGATTAAGTCCAAACTTCTTAGGATGGAATATAAAGCCCTCCATTACATGGCTCCTCCCATATGACTCTCCAGCCACAACAGAACCATTCTATATTTTCTTAAAGCTCATGCCCTTGTACATGTTGCTCCCTCTGAAATGAAAAGCCCTCCAACTCCTACCCATTTTGCTCTTTTACCTCTGATGTCCTCTACAGTGTATTCTCTTATATCTCCTCACCCATAGTCTAATAGATGAGGTCTGAAAAAAAAAATACTGAGCACACTACCATAAGTGTCTGTGCTCATCTACCTCCTCTCTCAACTTTAAGCTCCTCTGCTTTTTCATTTTTGTTTCCAAAGCCAAACATAAAAGCAATTTAAAATATGTTCAATAAATGTGCCACACAAGCATTTGAGATTATAATGTACAGTTTTTAAATCTGCATTTAGTAAACTATGTTTTTAAGGCAAAGTTTCAATATTTTTTTTTTAAACTTTTAAGCAACCACAGATACTATACCTGGAGATACAAAGGAAGACTTTTCTGAATTGCTGACAACATAGGTGCAGGCAGTTCCTTCTCTTGCTGTAATACTGCATGTGGCAGCAGTAAACAATCTATGATCCGGAATAGTAATTTTTGGGCTTTAGAAGTGGCAAAGATTTGTGCCCATGATTTCACAAGAATTCCTAACAAAGAAGAGAAGTAACAGCATGTTGTTGTTATCCTCTGACCAGAACATTTTGTCACTTAATTTAAAAATTTGTATTGAAAGCACATGGGACCAAATTAAAGTAGGGAATAGGAAGAGACATATAGTAGAAGTAACAAATATTTATGTCAATTCATATATTTCACTAAAGAGACAAATTTTTCATAGAGTTTTGGGCCAAGGAAAACATACATTTTCCGAGCAACTGGCATTTAATATATACACTGGTTAAGTATCCCTAATCTGAAAATATAAAATCTGAAACGCTCCAAAATCCAAAAGTTTGTGAGTGCCAACATGATGATCAAAAGAAATGCTCATTAGACCATTTCAAATTTCACACTGTTGGATTAGGGGTGCTCAACTGGTTAAGTATACTACAAGTATTCCAAAATCCAAAAAAATCTGAACTCCAAAATACTTCTAGTCCCAAGAATTTTAGACAAGGGCTAGTCAACCTGTTTACACTCACACATACAGTGGAATATATTTATACATTATGTGACTACATTGGCTGAATGTTGAAATTATTCAGGATTTCCCTTTCTGCTTTCCCTCTGAGTTGCTAGGATGCCCAAATGCAAATTAACAATCCACCTTTTAAAGAATACTGTAGGATTATACATTATGGTTTTATATGCATACTAATTTTCCCTGGGCCTCACCATGAAACTCTATATTTATTTGTTGGTACCCCTATTTCTTCATATTTTAATCTTACATGTAAGTGGCCTCAATCCAGTTTGCAACAGAAGTATAATTAAATTTAATTGTTAATACATGGAAAGCAGGATTAGCTATAAGCTAATCACTTAACCTCCACCAACTTCAGTTAACCTCCATGAACTTCAGTTTTTACACCTTTCCATTATTTAATATAAACAAACAAAATTTTAATTCTGAATGAAGAGAAACAGATTTCTTTGCTACTTGAAATATATTATGGCTTCCTTGGTGCTAGAAGTCTGTTAATTGCCACATCTGATGATAATAAAGCTTAACAAATGAGCACCCTTTGTTTAATAAAGTAATTAAGAGCAGATATATAATTCCCATTAGGATATATTATTACTATTGAGGTCTCCTTACTGAAAAATGAATTTAAAAACAGATTAAATGCTTATCCAAAAAGCACAGTGGTACATCTACTGCATAAACTTTTATATTTTATTCCATCCTAGAAAGCAAAAACGATAAAATTCAAAGTCATTTCCATCAAATAAAGAGTTTAAAATTTAAGCTCTGAAGGAAAACCAAAATATGCTTATGGAAAAGTATACTGATGTTAAAGAAAAAAACTCAACAAATTATCACTTTTAAGAACAAACAGCAACATTCATCTTTTGTTGTAAAAGGAAGTACAATAATCAATCATAAAGAAACAATGTTCACTTAGCAAAGTTTTAAATAATGCTGGCTTGCTCCTCATTTCTTCAGTTGGTGGAGAATTTCAGTATGACAGCAATATTAGAAGAACTTATATTCTAAAAACATTAATATACCTGTAAGGGGAACTGCTATCATCACTGGCATATGAAATGATTCTTATTACTCTCAGGTGCAATACAGGTATGTTTCACTTTCTACAGTTTTAGTTACCCGTGCTATAGGGTACCACATGGTATAGTTTAGTTACCGGTGATATAGGGTACCACGTGGTATAGTTTAGTTGCCCGTGGTATAGGATACCAATAAGATATTTTGACGAGGGGGTGGGGAAGGCAGTCAGAGAGAGACACAAAGTTCACATAACTTTTATTAGAGTCTATTGTCACAACTGTTCTATTAATACTATTATTAGTTATTATGTTAAACTCTTATGTGCCTTATTTATGAATTAAACCTTATCATAAGTATGTATGTATAGGCAAAAACACAGCATACATAGGATTGGTACTATCTGCGGTTTCAGGCATCCACTAGTGGTGTTGAACATATCCCTCATGAATAAGGGGAAACTACTGTATTTCATTTTCTGCAACGGTTGAAACACTTTGTTGAAGACTGTAAGCTTTAGGAGTTCATATAAGGTGGAGATATTTGTTTTACTCCTTGCTATCAGACACCTACTTTTTAGGTTTCAGCAATGAATATTTGTGTGTGTGTTATTAAAAATGCAAAATGGAAATATAAAAAGATTTTTAAAGTAAAAAACTGGGAAAGGTTTAAATACATACAGTACCTTTGTAAAAACCTAAGTTTTTTTTTTTCTTTTTCTGGCTATAAATATATTATTTATTAACAAATAAAACTGAAAATACAAAAAAATTTAATACAATCTCTCCATTCAATGATAACCACTATACAAGCTCTTGAGTATTTACTCATTTTCTATCCTCTGTATTTTCTATCCTATGTATTTTGCCTACTTTCTACCCTACGTAAAAATTGGGATCACTACAATATACATTTTTAAATCTTTATAGTTAGAAAGTAATTTTGTTCATTTAAGAACATTAAAAGCTGCGTACAGCGGCTCACACCTGTAATCCCAGCACTTTGGGAGGCTGAGGCAGGCAGGCTGCTTGAGCCCAGGAGTTCAAGACCAGCTTTGGTAACATAGTGAGATCCTGTCTGTAGTAAAAATACAAAAATTAACCAGGCATGGTGGTGCACATCTGCAGTCCCAGCTACTCAGGAGACTGAGGCACGAGAATTGTTTAAACCCAGAGGCAGAGGTTGCGGTGAGCTGAGATCACGTCACTGCACTTCAGCATAGGTGACAGAGGGAGACTCTGTCTCAAAAACAACAACAACAAAGAAAAACAAAAAGAACATTAAAAAATATATACTATTGCTAGATTAATAAAGTCATTAAATTCCATAAATATTTATATAGTATACACTATCTCCTACTTTGGAGCTCTTTAACTAATGTATCCCTAACTCTCAATCCAGCACCTGATACATAATAATTGTTCTTTTTTGTTCAAAATACATGACAATGGGAATAAAAAATTCAAGAGATGGCTACTACAAGTTTGAAATTTGGTGGGGGCATGTCAAGTACACAAGTAATTTTAACAAATGGCAAACTATAAATAATATCATATCACAAGAAAAGGATAGATGAAGTGTAATGAGAGAGATGATCAAGTCTACTTGGCAATGTGGGAAAAGTGGGGAAATTTGCACTTGGCACCAAAGGGTCATGACTTGAATTTCAATTACAAAGCAAAATGGGGAAGAATGGCCAAAGAGACAGGGATGATTGAAAGCTTTATACATGGAAACAGAAAACTATCAGATATGAAGAATGAGAAAAACAAAACAAAACAAAATCTACAGAGGAGAGAAGTTGATGGATCCACCATGCCTTTTCAGAAATAACTGAGCTACAATTAAGATCACAGATGCCTTCTCCTTAATATGAAAGGTGATTTCATCAACAGTTCTGTGCCTTTCACTAGCAGTCTTGCAACCTTGTAAGTGAACAGCAGAGGTGTCCCCAGTTAGGAACTGTCAAGGTAAATAGAGTACAGTGTTTCAGTGGTTAACTCCTTCCCTCAAATGGTTATGCTATCCCAACCCCAACACATTTTAAAACACCTTGGAGCTCTCCAAAGTTTATACTTTGCTCTTTCTCTGTTTTATTCTAATCCTTTAACATGAAGAAATCATTAAGTTACCTATCCTAATTCCTAACAAATAAATGGGCAACACTGTAGCAATATACTCTTCCTAGTCTTTGAAACCTAGACAAAAGGAAAGAATACAGATCTGCGCATGGAGACAAAAATCAACAAGGCAGCAAAGCAAAGAAAGTCTTCAATTTTTCCTAAGTAGAATTTTGTCCCATGTCTATATCAGACATTTATCTTGGCAAAAATCTAAATCTGGAAACAGAAAACTTTTGTAGACACTAATAAATTATAAGCATGAATGCCAATATATTTATTAATGTGTATTTTACTATTAAACTTATAAATTCTCACTTACATTTTTCTCTAAAATTAAGATGCCTGAATTGCTATAGCTTTTCCTGTAATTTACATCTTCTATATTTACACATTTTCACATTCGCCTTTATCTTTTACAACAAAGATAAAAGGTTTCAGACAACCCGAATCAGGCTTACTCATACATTCATAAGATTAAAGGGAACAGATAAAAGGTTTTGACCACAGAGAAATAAAGGAAAAAAACAAAAAACTTAAATTCTATATAAAAACTTCTAAGGAAATCTTTCTCATTTACCTTTATCCAATTCCTAGTTTTGGTTAGCACCATGGTTTTCGTGAAAAAAAGATATGTTAATCACTGACTTCCTAAAGAAAGATAAACTCCATTGTTATAGAACGGGCATAGAAAATGATTTCTTTTTGAAAAGGGAAGAGTATTGTGAGAAACAAGATTTGAAGCATAAATATTTTTAGTGCTGTATTAAATCCTATCTCCTTCATACAGAGCAGAGCATAGAAATAGATGTAAGCGATAGTTTTCTGATGTTTTTAATTCTAACAATAGATAAGCGTTTTTTTAAAAAAGGTCCATTCTAGTTATTCAGGTATTGAAATGTGACTCATGACAGACTACTGAAAGCAATTGGTGCCAGCATATTTTCTGTATTGATCATAATTTTAATATTAAAACAATCAAAAGTATTGAAAAGAGATAGAGCAAGACAGAGATACATTTGAAGGCCAACATGAATTATTTTAAGCTAAATCACTGTATTTCAGATTACTCTTATGATTGTATGGAGGGTAGTGATTTAGCCAATATATACCTATCCATCATGATAGTATAGGCTCAACCTAAGGAAATGTTACTAGCAAAATAATGCCAGGAATACATACCCATCATTCCATAAGTCAGCTGCAGCCCTGCACTGAAAACTTTTTTTCCCAAATAAGGCTTAATATATTTTAATACTTCACCAAGGTATTCCAAGGACTTTGTGACCATGGCAGATTTATCAGAAAGTGTCTGGACGTTCCCGTAAGTTACACCAACAGCCTATAAATAAAGAAAAACATTATTTAACTTCCCAAAGTTTATACCATAAAGATTTGGAACATAAAGATAATTTTTCTCTCTTTTTCTACATACGCACCCATACCCTTTACATTTAAGCCTTCATTTGTAACCTTCCAATAAAGAGACATAGGAATTAAAACACAAGTAAAAAGAATTAAGTCTTGTCTTTTATTATTAAAATAAAGGTTAAAGGAAGAAATCTTAAAAACTCACCAATAACTACTTATAGAAGGGCCGACTTAGCAAAATATCAGTGAAAAAAAAATGTGAAACTTATGTACACATACCTTGTAACTAAATCACATCATGACTTCCAGACAGGTTGGCTCACCATATTTCCCAGATTACTAGGAATTCAAAATCCCCAAATTCCCCTACAAGGAAAACCTACAAGTAATGCCAAATTTTTACAAGCAAAACCTCTAAAAAGTTCAGCTTTATTATATGAATTCACTTTTCTTCCTAGAATTTTATGAGCCATCTGATGCCAGCTTAACTTCTTGGAAAAAAAAAGGATGGGCAGAGAAGGTAGAGATGGCAAAATGGAGAGTGGTAGAGAGAAATGTGAGGTGAATCAGTAAGAGAAGAACAGAGACATGAGAAGAAGAGGAAAGGAAATAAATGAGAGAATAAATTGAGGAAAGGTTAGAATAAGCAAGGGGTGAAAGGTCACAAAAGAATCAAGAGAAGACTGGCTAAGAGATGGATTAGAAAGTTTAAGGAAAGTGGCCGGTGCGGTGGCTCCTCACGCCTGTAATCCCAGCAGTTTGGGAGGCCAAGGTGGGCAGATCATGAGGTCAAGAGATCGAGACCATCCTGGCCAACATGGTGAAACCCCATCTCTACTAAAAATACAAAAATTAGCTGGGTGTGGTGGCGTGTGCCTGTAGTCATAGTTACTTGGGAGGCTGAGGCAGGAGAATGGCTTGAACCCAGGAGGTGGAGGTTGCAGTGAGCCAAGATCGCACCACTGTACTCCAGCCTGGTGACAGAGCAAGACTGTCTCAAAAAAAAAATAAAAAAAAAAAAAAAATAAAAAGAAAGTTTAAGTAAACTAATAAAATTTTCAAACCATTTTTGAGAACTTATAATGAATTCCAATGACCCAAATTGGACCATGAATTGCACCAATACAAACAGTTCTGTGATTTTTCTTCTGCAGCACTCAGCATGTAAGACAAAGGAAAGAGAAGAGGTGGTTGCACTGAGCCAAGGTTGAGGGTTTGTAGGTGTGACCAAAAGAAAAAAGATTCAAGATTGTGAGAATGTTGGTAAGAGTAGCTGAAGTAAGGCCCTAAGGGGTCTAATTATGGTGAATAGGGAAGGAAGTGAGGCCTTGGGAGAATGTTGTCCTAGGATAACAGAGAGGGGAAGATTACAGTGTGGTCACTCATGAGCTGGAAGGACAGATGATGGTAGTCAATGAGCTTTCAGATGCTCCAAGAGATTCCACTGCTCCGGGTTTAGTCACGGAAGTGGGTGGATGAAGTAGGGGAGAAGTGAAAGACTACTTCTTTCACTGAAAGACTGAAAGAGTACTACAGAAGCTTTGAAATGAAAGCTTAATAGAAGTCATCCATGGTGACATTAAAGTTGGACATGCTGACAATAAAATGTGAAATGAAAAAGATAAGAAAGTCAGTGAACCTAAATGAGTGACTGTGAGATTAGCAGATAAGAACAAGAGATATACTTGACTAATCCCATTCCTCTCTATTTAGCTCTCTTCCCTTTGTTTTCTACACTTCTTTCCCTTGACTAGACGTTCTCAAACTCTTTGGTCTCTGTTCCCTTTTGCACACTTAAAAATGGAGGATCTTGAAGAGCTTTTAATTATTTGGGTTATATCTATTGATATTTATGATATTAGAAAATTTTATTTATTAATTCATTGAAAAGTGATAATGAACATTACATGTAAGTAACATATTTTAGTGAAAGACTATTTCCCAAACAAAAAACAAATTTAGTGAGAAAAGTAGTATTTTTTAACATTTTTACAAATCTCTTTTATGCCTGACTTAATAAAAGACAGCTTGATTCTTATATCTGCTCCTGTATGATTTATTGTGGTATGCTGCAGATGAAGAAAATACAGCTTCAAAAATATATGTGGCTGGAAGAATAAGAAATATTTTGAAAGATTTTTCACATAACCATGAGAATTCCTCTTTGCTATTATACCAAAACTTGACAAGTGGTATTTCCTACAGATTAGTTGTAACTAAACCATGGTGTCTGAAACCATGTCAATAAACATTTTATATTCTGTTAAATTAAAAGCCATTGGTCTATCCTGTATTTTGAGTGAATCTTTTACATCCATGAATGCTTTTTAAAAAGCCTATATTCGTCATTTGGAAAATTGTGGTTCACTGAGTTACACAGCTTCCCAATGTTGACACACTTCATTATTTATATCAGGAAAAAAAAATCACACCTGCTAATACCACCACCATTCTCATCAGAAAATAAGTATCGGGAAGCTCTCAAGATCACGATGACAAATACAAGTTTCTCAAAATTCTAATTTTCTTGAAAGCTTGAATTATATTATTAGCAACAAATACTGTCAGTTGTTTGCTTTGAAGTGACAGGCTCACTTCATTCATTTTTTGAGAAAATGTCTGCCAAATAGCCAAGTCTGAATAACCATACTTTGTCAGTTGTTCTTTTAAGATAAAAGCAGTCAGTTCAGCTTGCAACTCAAATAATCACACAAGTGCTTTTCATTTAGGCAACCACATTGCTTTGGTATGCAGCAAAAGTGCTTTAAGTGCACTTTGCATTGTCGTTCACGGAATACTGAAAGTACATGTACTCAAGAGTCAAAACGTAATAAAATAAATAATTTTACTGCTTCATTGAAGATATTCTTAAGTGAAACTGGCTTTTTCTTCTGTAAATGCATGGCAGTATCAATTATAATGAATACTAGTATAATCTTGGGCCGCAGTGTTGATTCATGTAAAAGATTTTACACTATTTGTGCAAATATTAATACTGTTTTGAGCAGGTGGTATCAGTAATTCCCAGGGGTCTATGGACTACACTTTTGAACACCAGTGCCTTAGACTTCTCAATATTGCTCTATGCTTAGGCTTAACTTCCCTAGCCTAAAAAACATGTATTTCTCGGTACCTTGATAATAATAACTTAGATGTCATACTATCATTTCTGTGCAGAAAAGAGTTAATACAGCAGACCCAAGACTGCTACTCTTAAAATGTCCTGCTTGCAAGGCTGGCTCTTGGCTGGTATTTGGGGTCTTAGATTTTGAAAAGCTTCCTACAATTCCTTGATCCTAAACTGGTCTATGCAAATAATATGGCTTATGCTGAATACCTGCTTTCCTTCTGGAACTGGAATTCTCTAAGTATGAGGCAAAGAGGGCATACGTGACCAGTCCCCAATAATAACCATGGGCACTGAGTCACTAAGGAACTTCCCTGGCAGGTAGTGTTTCACATGTCTTGTCACAATTCCTTGCTGAAAGAATTAAGCATATCCTGTGTAATTTCACTGGGAAAAGAATCTTGGAAGCTGTCCCTGGTTTCTTCAGACTTTTCCTCATGCATCTTTTCCTTTTGCTGATTATGCTTCGTATCCCTCTGTTAATAAGTCATAGCTGTGAATACAACTATATGCTAAGTCCTATGAATCACAGAACCGAGGGATAATCTTGGGGAGACCTGACACAACTTAAAAATGAATAAATTTAAAACTGAATTCCTCACCTACTTCTCTGTCACCCTAAATCATGATGTTCCTATTTCTCCTTAAGGTATCATCACTCTTTTAGTCAAACACAGCATTTATTTCATATCCATTCAGAAATCCCACAACCATTCAATCTTTGATTCCTTCTAAACCTCATTAGCTTTTGGCCAACAGTTCTCTGCACCTTTAAGTTATATTATTGTTACTTATTTTCATTAAAAAAATTATTTAACCAAATCATATCTACTTAAAAACTTACAAAGCCTTCACAATCTTCACAGGATAAAATCCAAACTTCTTATACTAAAATGCTTTAAATTCTTTACCTACTGATTGATCTGTCAACCAACTGGCACTTAGCATATAATGCCTTGTGTTACTATTTTAGTCTTTGTGTATGTCTTATATCCACAGAGAAGTAAAGGCCACCTGAGATAAAGAACTACTTCTTTTGATTTTTCAAATCCCTACGAAGTTCTAGCATAATATTATCTAGCATTCAGCAAAAAACTCATTTTCTTAGTGGTGAAAGAACAATTAATTTGGGCTAGATGAAAACTATCAATGAAGAACTTGATTTCTAGCTCTATTTCTGATCCATTATAGCTCCTAGCACACCACAGGCATTTAATTGCAGGTTCAGATCCAATCAACAACTAAATAAGGGTCCAAATGGAATGTGTATTTTACATCTGCATTTACTATTATCAAATATTTTTAGAGATTGCATGACATCTCTAATTGTCATACAATTGTACTTTAACTTAATAGAAACCAATGGAAGAATTAACATTTATGGAAAGAGCTTATTGATTTTAATTATTTTCACTGCAGCTAATACCAACCACTCTGTGGGAAAATAAACCAACTTTTACAATTAATAGCTTACAAAAGACACTAATCCAAACACATTAACAACTAGGTTTGCAAAACAAACACTCTCACATAGATAAATTTCTGTACAATTAATAATTAAAAATAAAATTTTGAATGGTACTGTTTATTATGGAAACAAAACAAAACAAATGGATTGGATTTTAATGCTCCAACTATACTATCATACGAAGTAGATGGTGCTTATGCCTACACTGTTCGCTACAGGGTGATAAACACTAAGGTGGGAGTATCATGGAATGTTTACAAGGATATTCAGTTCCCAAGCATCTGAACAATGCGGTTGTCCAGCAACTGTGTCAATATTCCTACAATTTAGATTAGCCTTAGAGTAAAGCTTTTTTGTGGTATTCTTTAGTTTTATTATTCTTCATTAATGTAATTTTTCTGCTGTCCTTAAGTGTGAATTGTACTATACCTTAGATTCACATTTTTCTTCCTCCAGAACTTTATAATAGCAGGCAATCAATAATATGATTCAATTTATAAGAATTCATTTTATAGAAAAACTTTAAGAATACTTCAGGTTTTTCTGAAAATTAATTGTAATTAATCTGGACAATTATACTAATAAATGACAAATACCTCAAAGAATCGAACAAGTGCTTTTTTAGGGTCTTCTGAGATGGATAAATATTCAACTTGGGCCTTTGAGAAAATACTCTTTACTTCTGAGAGATTAAATAGTAATCTTGTCAGTTTGACCAACTGTTTCATGTACTCTTTTTCTGTTAAAATAAAATAGTATTTGTTATATCAATTTATATAACATACTATATACATAACCACACATACAACATATATATAATGTATATATGAGAAGTAATACAGTATTCTTCACTTATGACATGCTTTCTTTTAAAATTCAAATTTCCACACAAGGACTTCAAATTAAATTTCTCTCACTTATGAACATCCTTGCCCCAAAAGTTATTCATGTAACACCAACTAATATAATAAAATATTAAAATAAATTTGGAGGATTTTTTTCAGGCCAACCTTCATGAAAATAACAAGTGGCCACAAACAATAGCTTTGGGAAAAGACATGTCCTACAGACAACAGAACTGCATGGGACATTTTTTAAAAAGTACAGATATCACTCAATGACTACTTGTAAAGCAGAAGAAAGGCAAAATATCTAATATAAAATGGGAGAGAATTATTCATAATTGGGTATTTTTCTTTTTAGGGTGTTCACAGTGTGATATCTGGTTACTCGCTTCAGAGTTCTACTTTTTTCGTGATCAGTTTCTTTAAAAAAATAGCTTGTCACCTGAGAAGCAAATTTCTGTCCTTGGCTTCCAAGGAAACAAGTTCTTTTATCTTTTATAGCAGAGAAGTTTGTCATATATAGTAACAGGAAAATAAAAACAAAACAAAACAAAAAAACGGAAACAGGCTACAAAAGGAAATTAAGTTCTGCTTGTATTCATACCCAATTACGAATATTTTGTATATTTTCTATTAATTACATAACAAATGATCTAGACAGCAAATAGCTTTCCATAGATACCCCCATCCTCCCCAAAAAACGTACACTTACTTACCAACTGCCTCTTCCAGATTTTTATCTATGAGCAAATCATCAGGCCCAGAGAGGTTTTTAATATACATTTGCAAAACACAACGAATCCATGATCTTACGGTTAAGGCTTGAAAAGATACATAGCCTGAATGAGAAAGTGCTTCACATAATGTGCTGTAGAAACAAATTGACAAATATTTTTAAAACAAAAACGTTTCCTGAGTATAGAGATTAAGAAGTAAAGAAAAACATTCTAACATCCCTGCAACTCCTTGGCCTCATTGATTTTTCAGACAAACACACTAACGTAGGCATGCATTGTTGAAAATGAATACTACAGATAAACCCAAAAAGATGTTAAACAAATATCCTTCTTTTCATTTTTAATGTTATAATTTTCAATTTTCCTTTTTCCACTGATGGCATATGTGTAGGTTTATGTTAAGGAAGAAGACAAGAAAGAATGTGGCTACCAAGGAAAAAGCAAGGGCTTATTATAACTAGCTAGGTGAGATAATAATGAAGGAAGTGGCAAGTAGAATAAATATCAGTGTCCGTTAGAATAAGTAAACAGAGAAGTAGTCATGAACGTATGCTCTCTCACTATACGGAGAGTTGTTACTAAAAATTACCTCACAAAGAATTCCAAAACCATTTGCCAGATTTAAAAAATAATTATTTATATGAAGACAATGGGCTGGCTAAACTTGGTTTTTTTTTTCTCTTTTTTTTTTGAGACGGAGTCTCGCTCTGTTGCCCAGGCTGGAGTGCAGTGGTGCAATCTTGGCTCACTGCAAGCTCTGCCTCCCGGGTTCACGCCATTCTCCTGCCTCAGCCTCCCAAGTGGCTGGGACTACAGGCACCCGCCACCATGCCCGGCTAATTTTTTGTATTTTTAGTAGAGACAGCGTTTCACCGTGTTAGCCAGGATGGTCTCGATCTCCTGACCTTATGATCCGCCTGCCTTGTCCTTCCAAGGTGCTGGGATTACAGGCATGAGCCACCGTGCTTGGCCACTAAACCTGATTTCTAACCCATTCATTAGTCAGGGTAGAGAGGATGGGGATGGTCTTAACCTAAATATAAAATGTTATGTAATGTCCAAAATTTTTAAAATTCATACAAACCACAAATCTAAAAATGTTTTGAAATACCTCGAATATAAGTTGTCATAAAAAAGGACACAATGAAGAAGAACACAGACTGGTTATTTATTACCTTATAACTTTCCCAAAGCTATATAGCACCTTTGCATTTCAGTTTCTTCAAATGTTACTAATACGCTAACAATATCATTTTTTAAGTAGAAATTATTTCAAATTATTTCAGCAAAAGTCTTTAATGCATAATATAAATGTTCATTACTATTAAAGAATTCCCAAACTGGAAGGGATTGTAAAAGTAATCCAACTGAATTTGAACTCTCTTACCTTACAACTGAAAGCCCAATGAAAAAATGTATACTTAATGATACTGCTTATTGAAGCTTCCTTAGGAAAAGACTTAGCTCACCAACTACATCTCTCTTCATTTCCACTGATGGGCAGCTTGGACAAAAACTACGTTAAGATGAGGGAAAATAAAATAAATACACAGGCCTAAGAGGACTAAGATCTCATAAACCTACACATATGCCATGTGTACACACGACGTATGTGTAGGTTTATGCTAAGGACGAAGACAGGAAAGACTATGGCTACCAAGAGAAAAGCAAGGGCTTATTATAACTAGCTATGTGAGATAGTAATGAAGAAAGTGGCAAGTAGAATAAAAATAAAAACCCTAGAAAAAATAAACAGAGAAGTGGTCATGAATATGCTCTCTCACTCTACAAGCAGTTGTTACTAAAAAGAGGACTAAGACCTCTTAGGCTTGTATATTTATTTTATTTTCTCTCATCTTGATGTTCTTATTCAAGTCTTCCTGACCACTCTACACTATTTCTATTGTAACTTTATTCATTCTATTTTTTTTTCCAATGAGGTTCCTCAGATCTCTTGTGTAATGTGGCAGGAAATACTTATAGATAAGGAAGACATTGTTCAGGTGAAGTATCTTGTTCATGATCTCATGAGTTAAGAGTGAAAACTCATGATCTCATGAGTTAAGAGTGAGTTAACAGTTAAAAATCTAGCAGCAAAAAGGAAAGCTATCATTAAAACGAAGACTGTAATAAATACCAGTATCTTACAGATTCAGTAATAATAAATGTGTAATTTCTTTCACAGTGGGATGTGTAGAAAGGTCACTTCAGTATGATGATAAGGCAGTCTTACAAAAACAGTTTTGAAAGGGCTTAACAAACAACTTTTTTTTTTTAAAGCAGGCCACAAAATATAAGTTAGTGTTCTTACTATTACTACTGTCGAAAGGCTGATATATCTGAAAGCAAAAACCTGACAAAGTGAGAGTATATGTAGTAGAGATCAGTCCTCATTTGTGAAAATTCTTAGCTTCCTAGGATACTGATCTGTCACAGGTTTGCATTAATGTGTATGCCTGAAATAAAAGCACGTACCTATTTTGTAGGACATGACTTAAATATCTTGCTACAACTTGAGGGCAGATGATATCATCCCAACCAAAAAGTTGAATAATTGATATAACTGGCTGAGGCTGAAAATCTGATGGAGCTGTGCTTGGCATGTCCATTGCTAGCAAAGTAAAGTCTAGATTCAAAATGAGAGAAACTTAAAGTCAGGAATCTTTAAAAACCATTTCTGACCCACACACCCCTGGCCAATTATAACAAGTGTTTTTTTTTTTTTTAAGTAACAAATAATAAAATGTTCTACTTAGAAATGTAGAGCAAACAAAAAGCTAAAACTGAACAAATTCATGTTGTCATAGAAATTTCTGTAGCATCTAGATCTCCAAGAAAGGCCTAGAAGAATTTATCTCTGCATTATCATTACAGATCTATAATGGCTCCCTCTAATTACAAATTCTATGCCTGAGGTTTTGGCTAATGTGCCTCCACCATTCAAAAGACCTATTTATAAAATATGTCCAGCATCTAGTCTTCTAAGGAAGCAAATTTGCCTGTCATCTGCCACAGGTGAACAGTTCCTTCTCACCTTAGACACTGGACATTCTCTTCTATTAAACAGAGATCTCCTACAATCAATGACACTCCACTTCCTTTAGAACCCACAAAGTCTAGGAACTAGAATTCCTTAGTTAACCATGCTAAACAAATATGTTTTATTTTGTGATTTTTCTTGGGAACCCATAAACTCATTTTGTATGATATTAATTTGTTTGCCAATACATTATTTATTAAGAACTCCTATGCAGCTTTCTGAAACGGGGTGGCTGTCTATTTTCCCACTCCCCGTATACCACTTGATCTACCAACAGGGTGAGATTACTCCTTGGTCCACATTGCTGCTTCTAGACTATTCTCCCCTCTTCCTCCCTAAAATTGCTAGCTTTGAATTTCATATCATCAGGTTATATCAGTCACTATCTTTGTTGCATTTACCTACTACTTCCTAGTTCACCTCCTCCTCTCATTCTTTGTAGACTGTAGCTCACTATCATGCTCTCCAACAGCACTCCTGCCATAATCTTTTGTGATTATTTTTCTCCAGTGTCATGGACTCTTGATTTCTTGAACTCCTCTGATTTAATGAATCTATCTTCCATTCTACGTCAGCCATTCACTCCCATGCTGATACCCAGCGACCTTGGCATTACCAGTAACTACAATCTCAGTAATTTCAATTGTAAAGTACCCCAATTTTTGACTCCAAACTAGCTTTCCAACTTTCCTCTTCTCCCCCAACTCCAACAATTCTTTGATTCCATCAGGACCTAAAATCCACTGATCCTACAACCATTTCCTCATCCCTCCTTGTCTCCATGCCTTCCCTGTCCCTTTTTAGGACACTTGATTGCATGGTCCATTATTATACTCATTCATTTATACTACCAACTCTTGCTCCTTTCTTGATTTGTGTACTCGCCTGGAAAAATCATCACCTGTTTAATTCAAACTCTTGGCCTTTTCCCCACATGTACCAGTATTAAATGGCTGAAGAAGAACCATGCTGACTGATACCACTTTACATTTATGACTACAGACTTCAAGTAGGCTCTTAGAATTGGCCAGCATTCCTATGACATTTCCCTAGTCCATTCAGTCTTTTATTCTCTTAGGGTACAATTGCATATCTTCTCTTCACTCTTCATCAACAGCCAGCACCTTCTGCCCCTTCCTCATTTTCAGCTGATGGACTGACTTAATACTTCACAGAGAAACAAGAAACATCAGAAGAGAACTATCACAAGCTGCTACCACATTTACGCAGTTGCCTTCATCTGGGCTCACTTATTCTGCCTTCTCTTCTGCTACTAGAGATGAACTGAGGCCAAGTTCTCTATAAGATCCCATTTTATCTGGGCACTAAAACAAAAGTGACTTTGTTTGTACCATGCAATTTTCCTTCACTTTGGAGCATTCCTGTCAGCATTTTAAATATACTGAAATGTCTCCCATGTTATTTAAAAACCAAACAAAAACAAACCTTCCTCTTTGACCCCTCTAGCTACTATCCCCATTTTTCTACTTCTCTTAAACAGTGATATTCAAAAAGATTAATCTAAATTTGCAGTCTGGAATTGCTCTTTTCACCTTTTCTCTGGAATCATCTTCTATCAGGCCTTTGCCTCTCCACTACATACAAACTGCTCTTTCAGGTCACCAGTGACTTCCCTCTTATTAAATCCAATGACTAATTCTCAGACCTTATCTCACTTGATCCATCTATAGAAACTGAGCTGTTGATCACTTTCCTCTCTTTGGGCTCCACGGCACCACACTTCCCTGCTTTTTCTTAACTTACCTTCATTCCTCTCCAGTCTCCTTTCTTGTTTCTCCTGACCCTACAAATCTGAACAAAGGAATACCCTAAGGCCCAGTCCTCAAACTTTTCTTTTCATCCATACTTGCTCTATGGGTGATCTCATCCAGTTTCATGGTTTTAAAGAATTATTTATATATGGATGCTTTCCAACTTCAAATCTCTAGCTTGGACCTCTTCCTGAACTCTAGGATCATTATCTAAGTGCCTACTTAACATGCCTACTTGGATTTAATGAACATCTTAAAAAAAATTACCAAAAATGTTAATCTTCCCTCATAAAATCTGTTCTAGCCTCAATCTTCCTCATCTCAGCAAATGGCTATAGTTACCCTTAATTCCTCTCTTTATCTATTTGGTTACCGTATCTTACCCACTTAGCAAATTCTGTCATCTCTACCTTGAAAATACTTTCTTCAGATGGGAAACCTGACCACTTCTCACCACCTCTACTGCCACCACTCTAGCCACAGCTGCTCATTTTTGGGTTATTACAATAGTTCCCTAACTGCCTTCCTGCTTTTCCCCTTGCCTAGTCTTCCTATAAGTCTAGCCTCAACCTAGCAGCCAGAGGACTCTTATCACTCCTCTGCTCAAAACTTTTCAACAGCTTCCAATCTCAGAGTAAAACCAAAAGTCTTTATAACCACTTACAAGGCAGAACACAAACTAGCTCTCCATTACCTCTTGATCCATCTCTTAGTTCTCTTTCCCTTTCTCATTCCACATGAGCCTTTGCTGCTTCCCTATAGTTTCTCAAACACACCAGACATGTTCTTGCCTTCAGACTTCTGCAAAGCATGGTCTCTCATCTCCTTCAGTTCTTTGCACAAATATTACTTACTTGGGCCTTCCTGACCACTCTATTTAAAATCACAACTGCCTCTGGCCTTCTGTATTCCTATCCTATATTCCACTCTTTCCCACAGCATTTATCACCACACATTACACTATTTACTCATTTAGTGGTCTTCCTATGCCCCAACACTAGATTATGAGCTCCATCAGAACAAGTATTTTTGTCCTTCTTCTCCATTAGTATCTCTCCAATGCCTATTAAACTAGGTATTCAGTAACTTTTTTTAAATGAAGAAAATCATTCTCTCCTAAACTATCAAGTCTTTATTTCAAATCAAAGCCAAAGTACACATATTTTGCTTTCTATTTATATACCATTTATCTTCAGCATCTAAGACAGCACTGACTGAACTGATGCATTATTATTTTTGTTGACTGGCAGTTGGGATGATGCATGTACACAAGTTATATCATCTATTAATGACTGCTTAAACTGGCTGAATATCAATATTTATTTTCATAGACATTACAGTAGTTGGAAAATTGTTGTCCTGTCACAATTCTTTAATCTATCATCGTAAAGTCCTAATTATAGAAGTGTTATCAGAATTCAAAATCTTTTCAAATTTAAATCATTAGTCTTTTACACAGCACTTTAAGCTCAGTTTTCCTCGTATACACTAGGATAAATATTGGTTTAAATCTTAGGTTTTTAAAACTATTATTTAAAAATAAATTAAATACCTTTAAATGGACTTCATTCAAGTACATGGAGTTACCATACTAATCACTGTCTATTCCAATACTTCTTAACATATTTTGAGCAAAATACCCCCTTGAGAAGACAATGGCCTCTTCTTAGAAATGATATATATGCGCATATATTCAAATTCTTACCTATAATTTCATGAGATCCAGAGTCCCTTAAAGCCTAAGGACATGTCTTTAGGTTAATAATCAAATTAAGTAAAAATTACAACTTAAAGTAGAATCTAGTAGAAGTCAGAACAATAACATCCTATATATTCAGTGTCATTCTGATCTCATCTTCTTGGGATTGAAGTGGTATTTATTTTATATTCTTTTGCTCTTTACACAAATTAACTTCATCTTATACCTATGTATCTGCTCATACAATTTGAAAATAAACTACTTGAATCACACGTAATCAAATGCTAGTTTACCTTCCAAAATATTACATGCATAAGAAAAGCTTATGTATATTCAATATTTTCAGGATAGAAAATTATCTTATTTTTAGTAAATAATCATTTAATTTTTAGCAATAAATAAGCCAAAGGATCCCAATTTATTAATATGTAATTTGTTTCATCTTTCTGGCTGACAAAATGTTTGCTATACAAGAGTTTGTTACTAAGAAAATAAAGGAAAATACTGACAAAGAGTCTGCAAAAAGAGAAATTAGCAAATTAATAATTAATGCTGACCTGCAGCTGCATCCGCAAGTTGTGAGAAAGGCACTACCTGTGACATTCTCTGACTCTTCAAAAATGAAAAGAAATGTCTCCACAGTGCACTGGCAACTGCAGCAAGGTGGCGCTCTTTAGCCGATAATGAAGACTGTACAAATAGGTCCACATTGTCCCTTTGAAGTTCCTGACACAATTGTTGATGCATACTCCTAAAAAGAAATAAAAATACAGCTAACACCCTTAATAAATGCTTACAAAAATCTTCTTAAAGTACATTTTGAGCTTTTTCCATTTATATCATATGAGAAACATTTTATATAATTAAAACCTTTATGCCAAGACATTATGCATTTCTGGTTGTTTGATGGATGAATGATGGCATATTAAGCATCATAAAGTTAATGTTAACTACTAATGTCAACCATTAATTATATGCTTTTTAATATGTCAGATCCAAATGAGAAAGAGGCAGCTTCAGAATGAAGGTCTGCATTTTGCAACTCACACATGACAAGTGATTTTTACTTAAAATCTAGACATGAAAACAATTTTTAAAACAATTTTCTCCTGAGGGCTTTAGGACATGGATGTACCAAGAGGAAGGTAAGTACAACTGGCTTATGCGTGGTATTTTAAATTAAAATACTTTCCTTGTTTAGAAGACACAGGCCTTGTGTAGTAGACAAAACTATGCTAGATACAATCTTACTACTTTGGTCCCAAAAGATTCATAATCATTCTCACTTGGTAGGCAATAATATACAATAACAAGTTGCTCTTCATAAAATAATAAAACATAATTCGATACTGCCTCAAATTTTGATTAATCATTTACTCACCTTTGCTGATTAATTCAATCGAAAATTTAGATATCTCTAGACCTTAATAGAAACGTGCAGGAAATTGAGGTTACCAAAGAGAGGGAAATAAGAGATCTTCTTAGTGATGTGGAACAGAAGGCATTTATGTTGTGCACCCACTGATAATATGATTATTTAAAACTAAATGTACAACCATGCTATTATTCCTGTTTCTGTTTATATTACTGCCAGATCAACTGAGTAGACATAAATGCATGGATACATTTACATTTGCATTTTTTTTTCAATTATACAGAAAGCAGCAAAAAATAACCAATGGAAATTATGGAGAAGACTTCCTTTAATAGAGATAGCATTCCACTAAGAAAAATAATTAAGTACTTTAAAAAAGATGTTTGATGTTTTTAAACAGTTTAGGGGAAGTGGATAACATGAAAGAACTATACAAAACACAGAACTAGCATGTGTATCTAAAGCAATCCCACAAAAAGATCAAGCTGGTTATAAGATCACATCTTAGAATATTTCGCATAACTACCCAAGAGTGAGTAAAAATTCTAAGTATAAACTGTATAACATTAGGGCCTTGAGCCCCTTTACATTGGAATTCCTGGAAAATTATGGGATATTACTTAATACTACAGGAAATATTCAAAAAACAAGTGAACAAATGGCTGGGGAAAGAGTATACAGTAAACAATTCTCATAAAAGCTAACCAAATATCTGCTATGTCCTCTCTGTAAAAACTTCTTGAGATGCTTTCAACTTGAACTAGTGGCTAGAGAACCATTTCAGTTCCTTTATCTTAGAGTGAGATAAATAACAAACCACTAAAATCTATCTGGCAACTAACTCAACTGCCTATATCAACATAGCAAAGTTCACAGTACATTTCTACACAGTGGAATCCATGTAAAATAATACCACCATTTCTACTGCCCTTTATAGCTTTTTCAAAGTATATTGGTTTCAAAAGACAATAAATAACTTATGGTACTTGAGTAGGATGGATTTTGCTCACCATATCTAAAAAAGCCATTTTATTTACTAACTAAAACCTATTCCCTAGGAAGGAGTAACATTTCTGATCGACCTCTATATATGTGCTAGAAATTCCTTAAATTAATTAAATTCTTTTAAAATCGGAACAACTCTATGAGATAGGTATCATTAATCCTCTTTATAGATGACGAAGCTAACAGTAGGAAAGCTAAATATGCCCAAAGGTCACATGGCTAGAAAGGGCTGGCCCCATCATCTGAACTTAAATCTGACTCTGAAGCCCACTTTTCTTTTTACACACTAAGACATGCACCCTTATGCGCCTACACATACACAAGTTTTAAGTGAATTAAACATTGATAAATTATCTTCTCTTTCTACTTAGGTTAAAGAAATTTCATCCCAGCACTTTGGGAGGCCAGGGTGGGTGGATCACTCGAGGCCAGCAGTTCAAGACCAACCTGACCAACATGGTGAAATCCCCTCCCTAATAAAAATACAAAAAAATTAGCCGGGCATGATGGTACACGCTTGTAATCCCAGCAACTCAGGAGGCTGAGGTAGGAGAATTGCTTGAACCCAGGAGGTGGAGGTTGCAGTGAGCCGAGATTGTGCCACTGCACTCCAACTTGGGTGACAGAGCAAGACTTTCTCAAAATAATTTAAAAATAATAATAATAATAAATAAAATAAAGGAATTTCAGAAAGCTTAAGAAAAGGGGCTGGAAAAGCCACATGTAGCTGTGTCTTTTGAAGGGCCAGGAGCAACATCAGAATTCTAACATTAGGAAAGACTATAAGAAGAGATGCTAGAAAACATGTATTCAAGGCAATAATGAGAAAGGCCAACAAATGTGAACCACCTTTGACCTCTCCACAACAAAACGTTGAGGTACCAGGGAGTATAAGTATGAGCTAACGTGGGGATAGGACTCAAAGTTCTGAATCCATTAGGTTTAAAAAAAAAAAAAAAGCCGAGTGCAGTGGCTTATACCTCTAATCCCAGCATTTTGGGAGGCTGAGGTGGGTGGATTGCCTGAGCTCAGGATTTCAAGACCAGCCTGGGCAACATAGTGAAACCCCATCTCTATTAAAAATACAAAAAATTAGCCGGGCGTGGTGACATGTGCCTGTAGTCCTAGCTTCTTGGGAGGCTTAGGCTGGAGGATTGCTTGAGGCAGAGGTTGCAGTGAGCTGAGATTGCACCACTGCACTCCAGCCTGGGCAACAGCGAGACTCTGTCTCCAAAAAAAAAAAAAAAAAAAAAAAAAAAAGAATAATTAATTAAAAAAAAAAAACCATTGTGAGGTAAAAAATTTTAAAGCTATAGATTACATCCTCCAAGGTTGAGTTAAAACAGCTAAGACAAGTTTCAACTAAGGGTAAGACACTGACCCCAAACCACACTTGTGTTGGAAATGTGCACCCACTTTGTGTTTTTGGATTTGAAAAGCAGCTAATATCCCCGGGAATATGCAAAATGTTTCCTGCTCAATAGTTTGAAAGTTCAAGCTTTTTCAGTCTGGATAAGAAGAAATGATTACCTGCTATTTTAAACCAGAACCTAGTTGTTTAAGACCTTATAATAATAATTTATTTAAGCATAAAGAAATCAGTGAGTGACAAATACAGGAAATGCCAAGAGTGCACTGTAATAGAAGTCTGAAGGAAGAACCAAATTTTTGCACTATAGCCAAATAGCTAGAAATACTCCTTGCAGACACTGGTAATTTTTTAAAATCACATGTTTGAACCAGAAAACTAATTATACAGACTACTGAAAAATAAATTATATTAGATGTGACCACTGCATATCTGCTGAAGGTACATTTACAAAAATGCAAAGAAGAAGCTCTGTCACTAGAGGTAACAATGTAAAAGAAAACACAAAACATACATAAAATATTATAAAGAATGTAATATAGTTCTAGGTGATGGCTGTTTTATGAGGCATTATTTACCTTCTTCAACACAAACAGTAGAAATATGTAAGTAGATTTTTTGCATAAAAGGAAAAATATGTGATTTCTGGTCAGAAACTGAAAGACATAACACAAGGATGTAGGATCTCCCAACACTTGGCAATTGTTTTATTTGAGTAAAGACAGATTTCACATTAAGATCAGTTTGGAAATACAAGATCAGATAAGGAAATACACACATGTAACCAGCTCTCTTACATTATAAAAGATACAATACAGTATAGTAGAAAATAAATTTGCTGAATGTCAAGTTATTCAAATTGCAGCTCTCATGGTGGAAATAACAGCAACATCCAGCATTTACTGGTATTTACTATGAGACCAGCACCATGCAAAGTGTTTTATAAGCATCGTTTCTCACCCTATGAGGTAGGCATAATTATTATTCAAATCTTATATATGAGAAAATTGAGACAAAAGGAGTAATTATGCTGCGTAATAAACATGGTTATTAGCATAGCTATCCAGAGCAGTGTGGCTTTGGAAAAACAAGTAACCTCCCAACTCGCTGTTTTCTTTAGAGTCAAGAACAGGAACAATTGTTGCTATATCCACCTAACAGGGTTATTGTGAAGACCACAGGAAATAACATTCTGAAAAGTTTAGAAGCCTATCATTACACTATATAAACACCCACACTTTCACATACCAATTATCCAGGTGTTCCTACGCTTCTATTTTAGCTCAGTTACCCTGCCTCCTTTAGCTTTCCTCATTATCTTCAAGTATTTTCCTGATTCTTTCATCTGACTGCTCTTTTGCCCCACTTTCCAAGATTTCCTGTTTTTATTTGTCTGCTACTTCTTGCTTTGATTTCATGTTTACTTATCCATTTTGCCCCCACCTCTCTACTCCCACACAGATACCTTATCCCCACAGACACACAAATTTATTGAGGCATCTATCATATGAGACGCATGGAACCCTGTACCTGAAACTTCTACCTGCCAGTCTGGTCTCTCAGTTTCTGCTCCTCCCTAGTAACTTAGGCAGGCTTCTGGGAACACTTACTGGACCACTGCTTATAGTTTTCGCCTCTAATCTTGGCATACCATTGTTTCTCCTATAACTGTTATAGAATAAGGTATGACATCCTATATACCACTTTCCTGGTATTCACAGTTGTATATTAATTATTTCTAATACATGATGCCTCAAAGTTTAAGGAAAATTAAAATTGTCTATTGATGGACTTTTCATCACATGGAAAAAGCATAATATAATAAATATGACTGGTAAGGATTAACAGCAATAATTGAATTCTTTTAACTCTACTGCAAACATGGTAACTTTAAAAAAATCTTTATTAGTGAAAAATATAATGGAAAATTTTAAGTCAAAAAGTTGTTCCAAACCACTATGAGTAATTATTCCAAGTATCTTATTGATCTGATGGAAAACTAAATGGGAATCAGGACACTCTATAACCATTTTTAGCTTCAGCTAAACTCACTAAAAAATCTTAGACACTGAATCCTCTCATCATACTTGCTTGTATCTGTGAAACAGGGCTTACTCTGCCTTATTATCCAGGAAGAATATAACATAACTAAGGTAATGGCATTATCAGAAAAACAAAAAATCCCTGAAATTTAAACAGTGGAAGTTATCCAAAAAATCATCAATCCAATCTTGTCTTCAAAAAATGAGAAAAAACAATAGACAACTTCTAGGTATGAAGAGACTTTTACAAAGCCTCAATTTGAGATAATGGT